>NC_000004.12:112860774-113012290 GCF_000001405.40 Homo sapiens | reverse complement strand
AGCTCAGAAATCTGTCAACATGGCCCATGGTTCTGTAATTAAATAAAGGACACTTTTCTATAACTCCAGGTCCTGAATCATTCTGTTTTGATAGGGAATAAAAACCAATTACCTTCTCCTCCTTCCCCTGAATGGCTGCATTTTCGTGGTAAATAATCCAATCTCTATATACATGCAGTTTCTGTTATAAATGGAGGATCAAGTGTAAAGGCATTAAAGTGAAAAACAACCAGGACCAAAGAACATGTTGTTGTTGTTGTTGTTGCTTTTAAACATGATGAAATTTGAGCCTCAGACATGGTATTATGAGAATAATAACCCTCAACTCAGCTACAGAATTAGGAAACTCTTCCGAGAGGACTTATTTTTTAAATATAAAATAAAATTTCTACATAAGAAATATGCATAAAATTGTTTGCACAACCCTTACATAACAATTGAATGTGAAGGGTGGCAGACTATGCCACCCCAAAATATGCCACTTTGGCATAAAGAATTATTTTGAGCTAAAGGCACTTAAAAAAACAGCAAGTGCAAGAAGGATCCTCTGACCTCCCCATTTTTGTTCCTAAAAGCAGGAGATAAAATATCCATATGTAAGATGTCCTCTCTATACCAGAAGGAAAATTACATCCTTGTCACCAGAGACAGGGAGTCAAGACCCAGAGAAATCTTGACAAACCAACCTTGTTAAACTATCCCTTATCTTCTAGTTACTTTTTCATGATTAACGACTCTAGGCCAAGCTCTTTTGTCTTGTCACATTTTCACAATCCACTACTCTCTGTCCAATTCTGTATATAAGCATTCAATTCTAACTGCTTCTTTGGGTCTTCATTTCCTTAGGAGAGCTCCCATGTCACATAAAAGTCACATTAAATAAATTTGTATGCTTTTCTCCTGTTAATCTGCCTTAAGTCAGTTTAATTCTCAGGCCCAAAGAACTCTAAGAGAGCAGAGATAAAATTTCACCTCCCCTACAAATATATCCTAAGAAAATGATCACTAATGTCCACAAATATATGTCTAGAAAAACATTTATCCCAGCTTAAACATTTTATCTCACCTGAATAACCTAAATGGAAACAGCATAGATGTATAAAAATGTGACATTAGCGAAATTGATTATGCTGTTTTGTATTATGAAATACAGCTCCACCATCCCCTTACTATTATCTTTAAATCCAAAATATGCAGAAAATCAAAAGTTTATATATAACTTATTTAGCAGCAAAACTTTTTCTGACCAGGACTCATTTGACACCAAAACCTAATCTGAAGTGAGGCTAGTCATAGTCATTTTCTCACACAGTGTGATTATTCTTGCTTCACTAGAGGTATATTAATGTGTGTATGACAGATTGCTGCCCCACTGCCCCAGACACTGCTGAAAATGTTACCTAATGTATGTATTTAACCATATTATGTTTCAAAGGTTCAAAAAATTCTAAGCTATCTATTACCACAAGAGTTTTATATGAAGAACTGTGACATTTATATCTAGTGGGAAAGAGGACAGGTTAAAAACTGTGTACACCTGGCATTCTCTACCTAAAATACTCTGTTTGGGTATGGATTTATAAATCTCCTGAATTGGTTCCCATCTACCATGTCTAAAGAGGACTCCTCTTTAGGCTCTCCATCACACCAGGCTGTTCATTTCCTTCCTAGCATTTATCACAACCATTGATGGTCTCATTTGTTTCTTTATTTGCATATCTAATGACTGTTTTCCCCAACTAGGATGTAAGTTCTCAGAGAGCAGGGACCTTAACTGTCTTGTTCACTTCAGTGTTCCCAGCATCTAGTGCAATGTCAGGTGCATAGTCTACGCTCAGTATGTATTTGTTGAATAAATAAATGGATGAATAAGTAAACAAATGAGGTTTTTAAAACATACATACATTAAAATATTTTTAATCCAATATTACATTTTGATAGGACTAGAGGTAACTCTTTTTTCATTTGGGCTTATCTCTATGTTTGAAATGTTCTTTGAGGGAAATATATTGGTTTTGTAGTAGAGAGAACAATTTTTAAGTGGATAGTGATTAAATTGATTGACATTACAGGAAACACTTCTCTCAGAGTACTTATATTTACCAAATTATACAATCTTACTGATATCAACAATTTCTTCAAATAAGAATCACACAATACAGTTCCTTCAAAAAGAGAAACCAGGCAAAATAAAAGCAAAAGGTAAAAGCCCCAGAAGTAGTTTCACATTTTCTTCAATTTTTTCACCTTTTGCCATGTGAGGATTATTCTCTTATTTGCTAACTTCTGCCTAATTCCCAAACCAAAGTGCTGGCATATTATACCACAAGCACGTGTGTGTGAGTGTGTGTGTGTGTGTGTGTGTACTCTCAACAATGGGGCCTTAGGAAACATAGAATCTAAAACCTTTGGGCTCATTAATGAAGATACAGTGAGAATTAAAAGCACATCCCTACTCCATAAAGAAAAAACATTTTTAAAATACACAGTTGAGTATTTCCAAACTTGATTTACCACAGCACTGAGTTACTCTGCATTACTTTACAGAAGACACATACAGTCAAATGTTGAGAAATCCAAATCCTTTCCCAAGCCACTTATCATCAGGAGTGGTCCAACACTGAGCCAGAGAATATGCCCTGTGGGTCCTCTGACCCAGCTGAAGTCTCTAGAATCATGGGATGCTCATGATCGGGAAATAAAGGATAAACATGTTTTTAAAAGGCAGGTTAGTTACATTTATGAAAAATCTTCTCGATGTATTTTTCTCCAATCTCCAGACATATTTCAGGGCTCTAAATTTCCTGGTGTTTACAGGTTTTTTGCATACTCTATTTTGTACTTAATGTATGTTTTCAGATTAACAATTGGACCCATTGCCATAAATTTAAAAGTATTTCAACTAAAAAGGTATGGAGAATGAGAAAATATATAGAGAACACATAAAATTTTAAAATAGTGAATATATATTTAAAACAGTTTTCAAAACTTTAAGGCACTCTGTAGTTTTCAGAATATATTTAAACTAAAGAACAGCAAGGATTTGCCATCATTTTGAGGAATCTACTTAATACCACATCCATCTCACTTAGTTCTTGCTCTGATTTCAACAGCATCCTGAAACAAGCAGCTCAAAAAACAAAAACCTAAACAGAACAGTGTTCTCCTTTGTCTGCATGTTTATAATTTAAAACCTTTGATTCAAGAATGGTGGAAGAACCAGTTCCCAACAGCCTTCCACGTATACTTCTGTGGATAGGTGTGTTGTACTGTAACTTAAAACATGCTGTTTAGGACAAATTAAATTCTTTCTCTGAGGCCCCACGAGTGAAGCAGCTGATCAGCAGCTGCAAGATTTTTTGCTTTATCTCCCTGCTTTTCTTTGTTAGCTGTGGTCACTGAGCCCTTTTCCCCAATGAACAGGCTGAGTCTGTGGGACAGCTGGACTGGACTGCTCCTATCCACCACCTAGACACAGAATATAGAATCACAGCCTCATCTGCCTACCATCAGCAAGGATTGTGCTTACTTTCAGTAATGGAGTGTCTGGGCTATTAAATAATAAAATATCCCACTAATGATACAAAATGGAAAATGACCATTTCCCCCCTGTGTCCTCCAAATAGAATTTGGATACATTTATATATTACCTTTCTGCAGAAGAATCATCTCACTTTTTAATTCACATATGACACCACATACCAAAGGCTTATTTTAGGAACTCCAGCTTTGCACCAAACATAAGTTAAACTGAAATTCTTATATCATTTATCATGTGTTAATTTCATGTAAGTAAATTTCAAAATTTGAGCCTATTGGCTTATAACCAGGGGTCACAAATATTCTTCCAAATAGGAGAATTAAATTGCCTGTGGAAAACCTCCAGTGTGAACTAAAACTAAAATAACATTTCTATTGGCATATCAGAATTCTAGGGCTACACTTGCAAAAGCAAACAGATGGTAATCATGTGAGGCTTTTCTCTAACTACAAATGCAAGTCTTATGTACAATAAACTCCACTCAACTGCCTTTAAAAGCTAATAAAGTGTAGCACACAAAGCTTTATATAATGTTTACAGTCCTATGCAGTTGGGAAATCCTGAAACTATAACCCTAGTTTATTTCCATTAAAAATGTAATTCAAAAGGAAAGACTCATTCAGTTAAAAAAAAAAAAAAAGGAAAAGCTTAATAAGTTAATGGTGTAGGTACCACTTTTTCCAGGTAAAACTACTGTAAAATGTAAGAATTAACACACTACAGGATGATGGCTCCAAGGAGAAAAGTGTATGCTGTTGTGGCAAGATTTCAGAGGAGGTGAACTGGAATGCTTGAGTTCACTAGTTTGGAGTTACACAGTAATCAGGAACAGAACTATGCAATTTATGTATATTGCATCTTTTTGCTGCCATATCTCTACCACAATACAATATGGTTTCATATTGAGTTTGCAGTCCACTCCAATACTAGCTTTTGTTAAGACTAGTCAAGTGCAAGTAGTGAGAAGGCTAATACGTGTTTTAATTTTAGTTATGCCTGTGCTTGTATAACATGGCTTATTTATTCACTTTTATTTGCTTCTGTTTTTAAGTCTTAATTGTAGTTTAAGGTACAAATTTCCTTATCATCAATAAATTCTGTATGTATATTCACTGTTTAGCAATCGAAGTCTTAAATTTAATGTGATGTGGTTGTAAGTCATATTTTCTGACATCAAAGTCTTTCAAGAGCCCTTTCTCTTCTGTAAGTAATAGTTTTCTTCTGAGATGGGGAGAATAAAACACTTTCTAAGAAGCACACGGGAAAAAAACATACTCTGATGCCCTAAGAACATCGTATTTGGGTATCCTGTAATGGAACTGCTGATTATATACAGTTTCTGAGTGTAGTTGTCATCAGGCAAGGATAAATCTTTGGGTGCTCTGTGACCAGAACCACACTTAGCCACCTGCTTCTCCAGGATAGCACAGCCTGTGGCCATATGTGTGAAAACGCCATTCTGAAAAGCTGAAAGCTTACTCTTTTCCCCAGAGGACAAGATGAAGGTCAAAATATTTATACTAACCGCTGCACAAAATACTCAAATCGGGCAGCTTCATGTATTACATATTTTATCCATTTTTATTATAAGTTAAAATAAGTAAATAACATTTGAGCAAAGTATGTACCCAAAAAGAAATAACTGATTTTTTAAAAAATATATCACTGTTTTGGAAAAGCAATGGATGGCATATCGATGATTTAAGACCATTTACTTTCTCAGGCTAAATAAAATGTTAGCTTTTTGGTTCCAAAATAGACGATAAGAAGAGTAACCATTTTCCTTGTTCTAATTTTTCTGCTAATTGTTAACAATTTTTAAAGTACAAAATTTTCAGAGAAATGTGTCAGTCAGGTTCATAATGGATTCATGACAAAGTCCTACATGTTTGAAACCAAATGTAAGGAGATATATTGCCCCACCATGAGGCAGGATAAGGAAAAGGGAAAAGATAACACTAGACCAAAAGATGCTGAAATGAAGATGCTTTTAAGCAAAAGTTGATTTAATTTTTAATTTAAAATTGTATTGATATTTCTAAGTACATTAACCCAGTTACAAATAAATCTGTGAATTAAATAATATGTAAAATTGCTGGATCAAAGAATATGTATATTTGTAACTTCAATAGATATTGCCAAATTGCCCTGTAGAAATCCTGTGCCCATTTATACTCTTATCAACAGTCTATAAGAAAAGATTGTTTCTCCACATTTTCTAACAAAAATTATTACCAAGACTTCTTATGTTTGCTAATCTGAAGGATAAATAATGAGAGCTCAATGTATTTAAACTTGTCCTGCTCTTGTGAGTGAAGTTGTACCTCCTTTCACATGTTGAAGAGGCACTTATATTTCCTTTTCCACTATCTTCTCATCTCTTTTACTTATTTTTATTGGCTCATCAGTCTTTGCCTTATTGAATGTGGGAGCTTTTCCCTCCTTTTATTGATATATAATAATTTATGTATTTATGAGGTAGATGTGTTTGTAACATATGTTGAATGTGTAATGACCAAGTCAGGTTGTTTGGGCTATCCGTCTTCTCAACTGTTTATCATTTTTATGTGTTGTATGATTTCAAGTCCTTTCTTCTAGTTACTTTGAAATATGCAGAATATTGTTGTGAAGAATAGTCTCCCTATGTGTTAGTCCATTCTGTGTTGCTATAAAGGAATACCTGAGAATGGTAATTTATAAAGGAAAAAAGGTTTATTTAGCTCACAGTTGTTCTGCAGGCTGTACGCAAGGCATGGTGCTGGCATCTGCTTCTGGTGAGGGCCTCAGGAAGCTTACAATCATAGTGGAAAGTGAAGGGGAGCCAGCATGTCATGTAGCGAAAGAGGGAGCAAGAGGGAAGAGGAGGAGGTGCCAGGCACTTTTAAACAACCAGATCTTGCATGAACTCATAAAGTGAGAACTCACTCATTACTGTGAAGACAGCACCAAGACATTCATGAGAGATCCACCACCACGACCCAAATGCCTCCCACTAGGCCCACCTCCAACACTGCAGATCACATTTCAATATGTGATTTGGAGGCGGCATACATTCAAATCATATTACCCTAGTCTACTATCAAACGTTAAAATGTATTTCTTCTATCTAACTGTATGTTTGTACCCATAACCAATCTCTCTTCATCCTCTCTCCTTCCTACCCACCCCTCACAGTCTCTGGTATCTATTATTCTATTCTCTATGTCCATGAGAGCGACTGTTTTAGCTCGTACATATGAGTGAGGACACGTGGTATTTGCCTTTTTGTGCCTGACTTATTTCACTTAACCTAATGACCTCCAGTTCTGTCCATGCTGCAGCAAATAGCAAATCCTCTTTTTATGGCTGAGTAGTATTCTATTGATTATATATATCACATTTTCTTTATCCATTCTTTCCTTGATGGGCACTTAGGTTGATTCCAAATCTTTGCTATTGTGAATAGTGCTGTGATAAATATGCAGTGTGGGTACCCCTTTGGTATACTGATTTTTTTTTCCTTTGGATACATACCTAATGGTGGAATTGCTGGGTCATAGAGTAGTTCTATTTTTAGGTTTTTGAGAAATGCAAGCTTTTTATAAATTAGGTAAATTAGCCCTGTCTATGATACAAGTTGCAAATATTTCTCCCTGATTTCTTATTTCTTAAATTTATTTATGTTGATCTTTGCATGATGCAGAAACTCTTGATTCATATGTAGTTGAATTCATCAGTCTTCTTTCTTATGGCTTATTGTTTTCATGTCTTAGTTAAAAAGCATTTACTCACTTCAAGGTTATAAAAAGATTCTCTTACGGCTTATTAAAATACAGTCATGCGCCACGTGATGACATTTCAGTCAATGATGGACACTATATATGGCAGCAGTCTTAAAGGTTATAATGGAGCTGAAAAATTCCTATCACCTCGTGATGTCACAGCTGTCCATTATGTCACAGCACAGCACATTACTCATGTGTTTGTGGTGATGCTGATGTAGACAAACCTGCACTGCCAGTTGTATGAAATAATAGCATATACAATTAGGTACAGTATATAAAACTTGATAATAAACTACTATGTAACTGGTTTATGTATTTACTATACCATACTTTTTATTCTTATTTTAGAGTATTCCCCATCACTTATAGAAAAAGAAGTTAACTGTAAAATAGCTTCAGACAGGTCTGTCAGGAGTTATTCTAGAAGAAGGCGTTGTTGTCATAGGAGATGACAGCTCCATGTGTGTTACTGCCCCTGAAGACCTTCCAGTGGAGCAAGATGTGGAGGTGGAAGGCAGCTATGCTGATGATCCTAATCTTATGTAGGGCGAGGCTACTGTGGGTGTTTGTGTCTTTGTTTAAGAAAAAAAAATTAAAAACAAAAAAAATTTTTAAATAGAAAATAGTTTATAGAATTAGGATACAAAGAAAACAAAATTTCTTTATATCCTAATTGTATAATTGTACAATGAATCTGTATTTTAAGCTAAATGTTATTATAAAAGAGTCTAAAAGTTTAAAAAAACAAAATGTTTATAAAGTCAAAAAGTTACAGTAAGCTAAGGTTAACTTATTATCGAAGAAAGAAAAGCTTTTCAATATAAATGTAGTGTAGCCTAAGTGCACAGTGTTTGTGAAGTCAACATTAGTGTACAATAATGTTCTAGGCCTCCACATTCACTCACCACTCACTCACTGACTCACCCACAGTGACTTCCAGTCCTGCAAGCTCCATTCATGGTTAGTGCCCTATACCGATGTATCATTGTTTATCTTTTATATTGTATTTTTACTGCACCTTTTCCATGTTTAGATACATAAATACTGATCATTGTGTTATGATTGCTACAGTATTCAGTACAGCAACATGCTGTACAAGTTTGTGGCCTAGGTGAAACAAGCTATACCATATAGCCTAGGCATGTTGTAGGCAATATACCATCTAGGTTTGTGTAAGTACATTCTAAGGATGAATTTGTCAGAACATATCCCTGTCGTTAAGCGACACATGACTGTGTTTCTTTTATGCTTTCATTTCTCACATTTAAGTATTCAGTTCACTATCATTTACTGTGGTGTAACACAAGATCACTTTCTCAAACTGGACCACTGACCCTACACCAATTATTGGTCTCTACAGACTTGGGATGTCACCTTGATCATATAGTCAATCTTCATATGTATCCAGTTTATTTCTTGACTTTCTCTTCTGTTGCATTGATTTGTCTCTTTTCATATTCCATACTATATTCTACATTTTATAGTATTTAATAATATTCGGCCAGACCAGTTCCCTCATACATTACTCTCCTTTGCAAGTATTTTTTCAATAAATTTTTGATTCATTATTTTTTTTCATTTGAGTGTTGTCTAGTTCAAAAAAAAGAAATCTATAATATCTCAGGGAGGTAAGGTCAAATATATAGATTAACTTAGGAAAAACTTATGTGATATAGAATTTACCTAAGCAAAAACATGTCATGCCTATCTATTTATTCATATCTTCTTTTGAGACCTTGCAATTATATAAAAAATTGTTTCATAAAAGCTCGCACATTGCTTGTTTTGTTTATACTCATGGATCTTACTTTTTCTATTGCTGTTGCAATTGGGGTTATAAAGAATTACAAGATAAGATTTCCATACTCAAAGAGATCAAACTTTTACAATAAAACACACAGGTCTCTAAAACCACTAAAATATGTGTTACCTGCCATTAATAATGTCTGCAAAAACAGGCTGTGGGAGTGAACCCATGGCAGATGGTTGCATAAGAGAATGTCACCTGAAGGATGAATAAGTGTCTCCCAAGAGACAAAGTGGGCAAAGTCATATCAGATGGGCAAGAGTCTGTACAGAGCCACAGAGGCCTGAGAGAAAGAGGTGATTTGGTGAACTACAAATAGTTTCCCAGAGGAAATATGTCATAATCTTAGAGGAAGTGGGAGGAGATGAGACTGAAAAGATGGACAAGGACCCACTCACAAGAGAGCTTTATGTCCTGTCAAGGTGTTTGGACTTTATCTCCATAGGTATTGAAGTGTTATTAACAGAGAAAGTCCAAAATGCCCCAGAAAGGGCTAGCCTGGAAATTAGAAAAAAAGAAGCCTATTTCAATTTTCAAGGTAGGAAATGACAAAGGTCTGTAGTACAGGTGGAGATCAAGAAATGGATAAGCTATCCCTCCCCTCTCCCCCCACCCCACAACAGTCCCCAGAGTGTGATGTCCCCCTTCCTGTGTCCATGTGTTCTCATTGTTTAATTCCCACCTATAAGTGAGAATATGCAGTGTTTGGTTTTTTGTTCTTGCGATAGTTTACTGAGAATGATGATTTCCAATTTCATCCATGTCCCTACAAAGGACATGAACTCATCATTTTTTATGGCTGCATAGTATTCCATGGTGTATACATGCCACATTTTCTTAATCCAGTCTACCATTGTTGGACATTTGGGTTGGTTCCAAGTCTTTGCTATTGTGAATAGTGCCACAATAAACATACGTGTGCATGTGTCTTTATAGCAGCATGATTTATAGTCCTTTGGGTATATACCCAGTAATGGGATGGCTGGGTCAAATGGTACTTCTAGTTCTAGAGGGATAGCATTGGGAGATATACCTAATGCTAGATGACGAGTTAGTGGGTGCAGCACACCAGCATGTCACATGTATACATATGTAACTAACCTGCACATTGTGCACATGTACCCTAAAACTTAAAGTAAAATAATAATAATAAAAATAAATAAATAAATAAATAAAAGAAACGGATGAGCAATGCTTAGGAGGTGGAATTTTTAAGACATTAGATAATTGAATGTGGAAATAAAAGGGAGAATTTGGGCTTTCTGGCTGGAGCATGTGCCTAGTCAGGACTGGAGAAATAACTACATGGAAATGCACATCTGGAGGCTGTTGAGATTCGCTGTCATAATCAAAATGCTCATTTTGTGATGGTTTATCTCATCACCATTCACCCCAGGATGTGAGCGAGAGGAGAGAAGCCTGAGGACAGAAGCTTAGAGAAACTCAAACTCCTAACTGTCATATAGAAGGGAATCCTTGTTAGACTGACTGAGGAATGACCAGAACTGTAAGTGGAATTTACTTGGTGGGCTCCCAGAATCCAAAGCAGGGTCAAATTCATAAAGAATGAGGGGTCACTAGAATCAAAGGCCAAATAATATTTGAATAATTTTCACTTAATTAAAATATGGAGACACTGAAATGCTTTGAATTTTTTTGTCGGGGAAGGGAAGTCAAAGTTAAATACTTACTAATCTGACACACTCCCAAGATATTCAAGAATATGTCAACCACTTGACTATAGTCTTTCCTTTGGTGGTTTTGCTTAGTTATTTACTTTTTTATGATAAAGTTATTTTTATTAATTGTCAAGCATAAAGTTTCACCTTTTTTTTTTTTTTTTTTTTGAGACAGAGTTTTGCTTTTGTCGCCTAGGCTGGAGTGCAGTGGTGGGATCTCGGCTCACTGCAACCTCCGCCTCCCAGGTTCAAGCGATTCTCCTGCCTCAGCCTCCTGAGTAGCTGGGATTACAGGCACCTGCCAACATGCCCGGCTAATTTTTGTCTTTTTAGTAGAGCCAGGGTTTTGCCAATTGGCCAAGCTGGTCTCAAATTCCTGACAGGTGATCCACCCGCCTCAGCCTCCCAAAGAGCTGGGATTACAGGCGTGAACCACCGTGCCCGACCTCACATTATTTTTTAAGGAAAAAGAAAGGAAGTGACAAAATCCAATGGAAAGAAAAAAACTGTTCAACATGCATCTGATATCTACTATCTCAGACATGAGCTCAAACTTTTGTAGGAATTATTCCTGTAGTTCAAAAACAGGAAAATAAAGAAGTAGTCATTATCTGGTGATAATCTCCTTCCCAGTGATGATGGTTTGGGTACGAGGATGATGATAATAAAATCAACAATTCTAATGTCATTGTTCAGTCATGAAGACTATGACAAGGATCCACATGAAGGAAATGACAGTTTTGAGTTACTTTGCTGGTGGATGATGTGATTGGCCTCTACTCTTTCACCAAAAACTGTGCACAAACCTAGTTTTCCTTGTTTACTCAACACTGAACTCTATCTACCATGTTCAACTTTTCTAAACTCATAATTTTTTTCATATCATTCTATGTCACTGGAAAACTTGTAACTCACTTACCGGATTATCTTCCTCCATAAACACATTTGCCAGCGTAGTAAAATGGGGGAAACACTGGACAATGAAGTAGGAATCCCAGATTTTACTGGTGAAGGGGATCAGGATATGCCACCCCAAAATATGACACTTTGGGATAAGAATTATTTTGAGCTGATGGCAGTTGGAAAGCAATAGATGCAGGAAGAGTTCTCTGCCCACCCTTGCCCACTTAAAAGCAGGACATAAACTTCCCTTTGTGAAGATAGCATAAATTTCCCTTCGTGAATGAAGGTGTCCATCTCTCTGTACCAGGAAGAGGAGAGCAATTCTTATCACCAGAGACAGACAGCTGGCACCAAGATGAGTCTGCATAAACATACCTTACTGAAATAACCCTTATCTTCCATTAGTTTCACTCATATATTTCACAGTCACTTTCCCACAGTTTATCATCCCTCAGAGCCAACCCCCCTTTTCTTTGTTAAAATGGTATATAAGCCCTGCGGTATAACCATTTCTGTGGGGGTTCACTTCTTTTCTTTGAGTCCTTTTATGTGAACTCCCATGCACATAAAATAAAACTTGTATTCCTTTTCTTGTGTTAATCTGTCTTTCATGAGTTACATGTGTAGGCTCCTAGCCACTGAACTTAGGAGCATAGAGGAAAAGTTTTTTTCCTCTCTGTCACTCTTAATTGCCACAACTTTACTACACATTATTGAACAAATCCCTTTAACTCTCTGATGTTCAATCATCTCTAAGACATTCTATATATCACCTCCTCAAATTAACTTTCTAATGATGCTTGCCAAGAAAAGTAAGACGATTCCAGGGGGTTCAAATAAAATTAAAATCCTTAGCCAAAACCTTTCCTCTATGATTGGAATTCTGAAAATGGAGAATATGGGCCTCTTTGGGTTTTTTTGTTGCTTTTTTTTTTTAAGGAGGAGGAGGAAAAGGACTGGTGGGGTGGGTTAGTGGATTAGTATATTGCTGCAAATCACCACTGGCTTTGTATTCCAAAGTTTTAGTGAACCAAGACAGCTTATAAAAGCACAAAATATTTCAAAAGTATATATACACTTCAGGAATTTTGTCCCCTCCCTTTCTCTGTCAGGTGAGAGGCAGAATGGCAGGCTTAGTTTCGTGGTGCCCCATGGCTGTGGGAATCATCAGTAAGTGATTTAATCTCTCTGATCTTCATTTCCTTAATGTAAAAAGAGCTCATGCTGGGCTTGTCTACTCTGCAGAATGATTGTGAGACTCAAATAAGATAATATATCCAAGGTTACTTGGCAAACTGTAAGGTGATACACAAAAATAAAGTATTATAGTTACTCTTTTGAAACTGCATTCCTTACCATTATTTTAGTTTTTTAAATTTTGGTAAAATATTCTCAATCACGAAGAAATTATCTATTAGCATCTGTCTGTATTGCAGAGGGAAACTGGAGAGAAATAATGACAAGAAATGTTTTATTTTAATATTTAAAAGGGCACAAAGTGCACATGTATAGCATTTTGTATAATGTATGTGTTGCAATATTTAATATATTTAAATACATTATCCATATACAAGTATGGAGACAAGGTTATTCTTGCTAAATTTTAGTTATAGCATTCTCTCTCACTTTGTTATATAGTTATTTTTCCAATCTCTCCCATTTTGATTTGCAATGAAAACATATACAAAAGGAAGTATATACAGAAAGACTTCTCCAAATTAATTTAGAAGAGTGTTCATTTTCTGCAAGATGCAATTGGATATTTTTAAATTTTGAAAAAGGGTGCTGTGATCAAACATGTTTAGGCAATGCTGTGTACTATATGCTTATTTTAGAGATTCAAAATTCACAATGACATATGGAAGGTTCTCAGAAATCCCACAGCAGATGAATCTGCTTAACTTTATTTAACACACTTTCCCAAATTTATTTAACCATGACACTCTAATTTTTTTAACCAACCACCTATTAATATCTCATGAACCTCTAGAGTTCTGCATAATGCAATTTGGGAAACCTGATCAATGAGTATGTTTCAAATATGCAGCAGTCATTATAAAGTAAGACATCCAGCACCAACTCTAACTAGGCTCACTGGGCACTTTTCTTCTCATTCACTAACATTACTACTTAAAGTCATCCTGGAAACCCCTGGCAAATGCATTATGATGGATGCTAGTATGTGACTGAGGTTGAATGAAAAGGCAGAGGACACTTCTGGCAAATGGTACTCAGTATTAACAGTTGTTAAAGACCATCACTCATTTTGGGCACAAATCTCTTTTGAATTGTACCCTAAGGGCCCAGTGGGTGAGGGGAAAATTGCACCTACAAAAGGCAGACATAATTGACTTCTGCTTGAAAGAGTCCATTTGCCCTTGGCAAAACAGGCAAATGTACCTTGAAAATGGCGATTATTTATTGCCACTGGGTTATCTAAGATTTCTGAAAAACTCACAGTGTGTTGGACACTGTCTTAACATCAGTCTTAACTAATGGACTTTTTATAATTCTAGTAGCTTCTGATAATAAAATGTGAGGAATTAAGACCATCTCATTTAGGACCACATGCTCAAAAGATGGCCTTTAAGGGTTACAATTTTCCACGTGCTTATGTATTTGGACAAAACAGTCAGCAAATGACACCAAAGTTTTGAGAAACAGACTCTAAAATTAGAAAAAAAAAAAATAGCCCAAAATTCTATAATGTATGTGTATGTGTGTGTGTGTATATATATGTGTGTGTGTATATATATATGTCATTTGTATATATGTGCATATATGTGTGTGTGTGTATATATGTTTAAGTCATTTGTATACATGTGTATATATGTGTGTGTATATATACACATATATATACATACCATGTTGTATACCACATACAATTTTTACTTGTCAATGAAAAAAATAATTAACTAATTAAATGAATGATAATATGACCAAAATATTTGTGCACACATATACTGGAAGAAAAGAACAAATGCTACAGTCTCCAAAACAGGGAAGTTCTATGGAGTCTTTTTTAGGTGTTTGACTAGAAATGAGCTACAAGGAGTAAAATACACAAAAGGGATTTTGTGGAGGCATCACCTCTGCATCTGAAAAGTTTCAAGGTGTAGTGAGGGTTGATATTGTTAGATATCTGTTAAGCATATTGCATATCAGTAGTTTTTGGAGGATAGAGGAGGAGCAGATGGGAATATAAATAAGAGGGATCACAGATTTGGTCAGTCAGAAATTTCACAAATTCAAGAGATCTATTGTACCTGGTGACTCTAGTTAATAACAACTTACTGTGTACTTGAAAATTGCTAAAGAGAATAGGTTTTAAGTGTTGTCACCACACACAAAAATGATAAGTACATGAAGCAATACATGTGTTAATTAGCTTGATTTAGCCATTCCACAGTGCATACATATTTCACAATATCAGGTTGTGTACCATAAATATATACAATGTTTATTTGTCAATTTAAAAAATAGAGTGACATTAAAAGCCTAAAAAAAAATCCATAGAGCAGGGACATATGTGCAGTTTGAAAAATACAGGAAAATAAACTTTGTCATAATCTTAACTGGTGAAGATATACTAGACAGAGAGTGAAAAAGCATTAGGAGAGAAGTCTATAATTTATGTCAATTAAATTCATGGACATAGGGAGAAGGATGGTTACCAGAGGCTGGGAAAGGTAGTAGGGGGCTGGGGATCGGGGAGGTAGAGACAGTTAATGCGTACAAAAATTAGAAATAATGAATAAAAAATAATGAATAAAACCTATTATTTGGTGGCACAACAGGGTAACTATAGTCAATAATAACTTAATTGTACATTTTAAAATAAAGAGTGTAATTGGATTGTTTGTAACTCAAAGGACAAATGCTTAAAGGGATGGATACCTCATTCTTCATGATGTGATTATTTCACGTTGCATGCCTGTATCAAAACATCACATGTACCCCATAAATATACCACGTACCCACAAAATTTAAAAATTAAATATCAAAAATGAATCAGTAAATAAAATTTATGTGAATTAAGATAAATGAAATATAATGACATAAGAAAAGTGAATGGTACAATAAAAGGTGCTGTTCCTATTACATTCTATAAGCACAGTAAATGTTTTATGTGCAAAACGAGTAAATATCTTTTCCTTTTAAAATATAGTTTTATTAGAGTATAATTAAAGCATAAAAATTTGCATATATTTAAAGTGTACTATTTGATGATTTACACATTAGCCATCACCACAGTTAAGATAATGAACATATATTCATCACTCCTAAGTTTCCCCATGCTCGTTTGTAGACTGGCCCTCCCTGCTCCCATCCCTATTCCCAGGCACTTACTGATTTGCTTTCTGCCACTATGAATTAGTTTGCATTTTCTAAAATTTTTCATACAACACAGATTCATTTTATGTCTGGCTTCTTCACCTAGATCATTATTTTGAGATCCATCTATGTTATTGCATGTATTAATAGTTTATCTTTTTTATCTATTCACCAGTTGATAGACATTTGGGTTGTTTTCGATTTGGAGCTATTATAAATAAAGTTGCTATAAGTATCTGCATAGAAGTCTTTGCATGGGTTTATGCTTTTATTTCTCTATGTTGGAAGAGCTAGGCATGGTATGCACATGTTTAACTTTTTAAGAAAACACTGAATGGTTCTCCAAAGTGCTTATACCATTTACATTCCCACCAGCAGTGTATGAGAGTTCCAAAGAATTTGGAATACTCATCAACATTCCATAAAAGCAAATTATACATCAAAATCCTGATGTCCGCTAGAAAGAATACAACTGGACCCCTACCTATCACCATACACAAAATGAAATTGAGATAGATTAAGGACTTAAATGTAAGATCTAAAACTATAAAAATCCCAGAAGAAAACCTAGGAAATGCCCTTTTGGAAATTGTTCTTGGCAAATTTGTAACTAAGTCCCCAAAAGCAACTGCAACAAAAACAAAAATTGAAGAGTGGGATCTAATTAAACTAAAGAGCTTCTGCACAGCAAGAGAAACTATCAACAGAGTAAACAGACAACCTACAGAATGGGAGAAAATATTCACAAACTATGCATCTGACAGAGGTCTAATATCCAGAATCTATAAGAAACTTAAACACACAAAAAACAAATAACCCTATTAAAAACAGAGTAAAGGACATGAATACACTTCTCAAAAGGAGACATACAAGCAACCAACAAACATGTAAAAATGCTCAACATCACTAATCAGAGAAATGCAAAAACCACAATGACATACCATCTCACACCAGTCAGAATGGCTATGATTAAAAATTCAAAAAATATCAGATGTTGGCAAGACTACAGAGAAAAGGGAATGCTCATACACTATTAGTGGGAATGTAAATTAGTGCAGCCGCTGTGGAAAGCAGTTTGGAGACATCACAAAGAATGAAAAATAGAATTACCATTTGACCTAGCAATCCCATTACTGAATATATACCCAAAGGAAATTAAATCACTCTAACCAAAAGACACATGCACTCATATGTATGTTCATCGCAGCACTATTCACAAATAGCAAAGACCTGGAATCAACCTAGGTGCCTATCAGTGGTGGACTGGATAAAGAAAATGTGGTACATATACAGCGTGGAATACTATGCAGCCATAAAAAAGGAATGAAGTCATGTCCTTTGCTGCAGCATGGCTGCAGCTAGAGGCCATTATCCTGAGCAAATTAACTCAGAAACAGAAATTCAAATACTGCATGTTCTCACTTATAAGTGGGAGCTAAACACTGGGTACACATGGACATAAAGATGGGAACAGACACTGAGGACTACTGGGGCAGAGGAAAGAAGGGGAGAAAGGGTTGAAAAACTGCTTATTGGGTACTATGCT
Source organism: Homo sapiens (assembly GCF_000001405.40). Lineage (NCBI taxonomy): Eukaryota > Metazoa > Chordata > Mammalia > Primates > Hominidae > Homo > Homo sapiens. The sequence goes on along the minus strand of NC_000004.12, from coordinate 112,994,715 downwards.
CCGTACCTGGGTGACAGGATCATTCATGCCCCAAACCTCAGCATCACGCAATACACCCATGTAACAAGATTGCACATGTACCCCCTGAATCTAAAATAGAAGTTGAAATTTTTTAAAAATCCAAAAGCCCGATGTCTATACCACAGTGAATTTTTTAAACTACTGGAGATTGTCTCATAAAAACTTACATTCTGAGTACTTTAACTTCATTAGTACAGAAAACTCCCACAATACTTTTTAGCTTATTCTCCTATGAATTGTTGACCTAGCTGAGATAGAAATGTTCGAATTTTGTAAAAGATCACATTACTTTTCTTTTTGCTATTAGTTGCTATGAATCTGCCAATGAAGGAATTGTGTCCATCCATTTATTGCAATATGTGCCAAAAACATAGAAGTGTTCTTTCTTCAAGGGTTATAGAATCTGTAAAAATGTTGCTGTCTCCCAGATAGTATCAAAACAATGACAAGAAAATCAGTTGACTGTTGGCACCATATATATAATTTTTCTTTGACAATTAAAAATATAAACAAATCCCATATAAAACAAAAAGTCGGGATTAATATCTGCTTTTATTAATGTAGTAGTGCTCCATTCAGATCCAAACATCAGCATCCAAACCTGCTTGCTAGCAATACGTGAGATGTTCCAGACTGTCAAATGAAAATATGTTTGTGTGGATGGACACTCCAAAGAATGCAGTTGCCGGCCGGGCATGGTGGCTTACACCTGTAATCCCAGCACTTTGGGAGGCCAAGGAGTGCAGATCACTTGAGGCCAGGAGTTCAAGACCAGCCTGGCCAAGATGGGGAAACCCTGTCTCTAATAAAAATACAAAAAATTAGCTGGGCATGGTGGTGCGTGCCTGTAATCCTGGCTATTCAGGAGGCTGAGGCAGGAGAATTGCTTGAACCCAGGTGACGGAGGTTGCAGTGAGCCAAGATCGTGCCTCTGCACTCCAGCCTGGGTGACAGAGTGAGTCCCTGTGTCAAAAAAAAAAAATGCAGTTGCCAATAGAATGTAAGCTTTATGCACCTGAAGCCTTCCTTTTGTTTCTTTTAATGCTCCTAGCACTCACAGTAATCTACAATATATAGAAGGTATACACTGTCCAGGCACAGTGGCTCATGCCTGTAATCCCAGCACTTTGGGAGGCCGAGGCGGGTGGATCATGGGGTCAGGAGTTCAAGACCAGCCTGGCCACAATGGTGAAACCCTGTCTCTACCAAAAATACAAAAAAAAAATTAGCCAGGCATGGTGGCGGGCTACCTGTAATCCCAGCTACTCCGAAGGCTGAGGCAGAGAATTGCTTGAACCTGGGAGGTGGAGGTTGCAGTGAGCCAAGATCGCGCCACTGCACTCCAGCCTGGGTGACAGAGCGAGACTCTGTCTAAAAAAAGAAAGGAAGGTATACACTAAATATTTTTTTTTTGAGACAGGGTCTTGCTCTGTCACCCAGCCTGGAGTGCAGTCACAAACATGGCTCACCGTAGCCTCGACTTCTCAGCCTCAAGCATTCCTCCCACCTCGACCTCCTGAGTACCTGGGACTACAGGGGCACACCACCATGCCCACCTATTTTTTTTTATTTTTTGTAGAGACAAGGTCTCCTTATGTTGCCCAGGCTGGTCTCGAATTCATGGGCTCAAGCAGTCCTCCCGCCTCAATCTCCTGAAGTGCTGGAATTACAGGTATGAGCCACTGTGTCAGGCCCCACACTAAATATTTTAAATAAATTAATGAAGGGTATCAGGAAAAGGGCCAACTAATTCAAACTTTCAGATATAACACATTTGAATAGGTTTGGCAATTATAGATACAACATTTTAAGAACAGATGTCAATTTTAAGAAATAAGCATCCGCATTTTTGCTTGGTATGGACTGAACTGTTTTCTCCCAAAATGTATATGTTAAACCCCTAATGCACAATGTGATGGTATTTGGAGATGGAATCCTTGAAAGGTGATTAAGTTTAGAGGAGATCATGAGGGTGGAGCCCTCTTGATGAGATTCGTGCCCTTACAAGACGAGACACCAAGAGCTTGTTTTTTGTCATCCCTCTCTTTGCCCTGTGAGAACACAGTGAGAAGCTAGAAAGAAAGCCCTTGTCAGAACCCGATCATACTGGCACGCACAACTCAAACTCTCCAGAACTGTCGGAAATAAATTTCTGTTTTTTAGGTCACCCAGTTTATGGTATTTTGTCATGGCAGCCTAAGCTGACTAATACAGACTTTGGTACCAAGAAATACCTAAAAATGTAGAAGTAGGCCAGGCGTTGTGGCTCACACCTGTAATCCCAGCACTTTGGGAGGCCAAGGAGGGTGGATCACTTGAGGTCAGGAGTTCAAGACTAGCCTGCCCAACATGGTGAAACACCATCTCTACTAAAAATACAAAAATTAGCCGGGCGTGGTGACTCATGCCTGTAATCCCAGCTACTTGGGAAACTGAGGCAGGAGAACTGCTTGAACCTGGGAGGCGGAGGTTGCAGTGAGCTGAGATCACGCCACTGTACTCCAGCCTGGGTGACAGAGTGAAACTCCGTCTAAAAAAAAAAAAAAGTAGAAGTAGATTTGGAACTAGGTAATGAATGGGTAGAAGCTAAAGGAGTTTTGAGGTTCATAATAAAAATATGGATTTTATATGCAATTCTAGCAAAAGCCCAGAAATAAAAGACGAGGGCAAGTTGGAAGGAAAAAGAGAAAGTTTCCATCTTCTCAGAGAATACGTAAAATAATGTACAAAATGTAGAAATACAGACGTTAAGGGCCATTCTGCTGAGGTCTCAAATGGAAATGAGGAACATATTAATGGAAACTGGAGGAAAGGCAATCCTTTTTATATAGTGGAAAAAAAAAAACTTGGCTGAACTGTGTTCTAGTGTTCTGTAGAAGGTAAAACTGCAGGTGATGAATCTGAGGGAATTGCTAAACAAAGTATTGAAGGAGCAGCTTCATTTTTCCTGACTGCTTCTGGTAAACTGAGAAGGGAAGGAGTTCAGTTGAGGACGGAATTATTAAGCAAAACGAACCAGAAATTGAAGATTTGGAAAATTCTCAGCCTATCCATATTGCAAAAAAAAAAAAAAAAGAAAGAAAGAAAAGAAAAGAAAAAAAAAAGCTTGCTCTGAAGAGAATACGAGGGGTGTGGCTGAACAGCCATTTGATTAAAAGACTGTGTGTGTAACACATGAACTTAATCAGCCATCTCAACAGAAGCCAGGAATAGAGAAGGGATTATACCAGCAAAGACACTGCCAGTTTGAATTAAATAAATTTCTGGGTTTTAAGCCACCCTATCTGTGGCATTTTGTTATGGAAATCTGAGCTAACACATTGCTCAATATGATACCCCAAGCTTTTGCACCCCAAATACAGACATGAATGCAGCAAATGAGTGCTACAGGGTTTTTAATATCATTGAACCAATGAAGGTCTCCAACACGAGGTTCTTGATTTTTTTTTTTTTTTTTTGAGGCTCTGTCACCAGGCTGGAATGCAGTGGCGCAATCACGGCTCACTGCAACCTCTGCCTCCTGGGTTCAAGCAATTCTGCCTCAGCTTCCCGAGGAGCTGGGACTACAGGCATGCATCACCATGCCCAGCTAATTTTTGTATTTTTTAGTAGAGACGGGGTTTCACCATGTTGGCCAGGATGGTCCCCATCTCTTGACCTCATGATGCACCCGCCTTGGCCTCCCAAAGTGCTGGGATTACAGGCATGAACCACTGAGCCTTGCCCAATAGGATTTCAAAGAAAGAAAATTAGGATGAATTTGGTTGTAATTTAAGAACATCCAATTTGGAAGTTTGTTAGGTGGTCTTCCTTTAATCACATCTATAAAATACTTCACAGTAACACTTAGAGTTTGATAGAATAACTGGAGACTGCTTAGCCAAGTGGATACATCAAAATGACCATCACACCAACCATGCACATGGAGGGTGGTAAGGAGGGAAAAGGAGAATCCTGGTGCTCTGAGCATATTCTGTCCTGTGATAAAGGTAGAAGATTTACATGAACAAGCAGTGAGTCATGCCCTTTGTCTACTATACTCCTCAAAATTGGTATCTTCTTTTCTTGAAATGCCTATCATTTAAAAACATGAAATATTGATCTAGATGAGGGCTATGGAGATGATGAATTTCAATCTCTGTCTCTGAAACACACCCAGACATAGATATGTTACTCTCAGATACACCAAGACAGGTATAAAAAAAAAACCCTCTGACAAACATGCTGGACATAAAACAGGAAAGAAGTGCCTGGGTTTAATCAGAGAATAGACTCAGAATGGGTGTCATCTATAATAATATCTAAGAGGTGGGACTTTTATACCTTGACTATTAGTGAGAGACTCTGATCATGTCAGCCTTTTAACGGACTCCAAGTTATTGTTTTAGCTCAATGCCTGCATTATTATTATTATTTTATTGCTATTGAGACAGGGTCTCACTCTGTCACCCAGGCTGGAGTTCAGTGGCACAATCATGGCTCACTAGAGCCTCAAAGTCTTGGGCTCAAGCTGTCCTACCACCTCAGCCTCCTGAGTAGCTGAGACTACAGGAATGTGCCACTATGCCCAGGTAATTTTAATTTTTTTGTAGAGACGGGGTCTCACTACTTTCTCAGGCTGGTCTTGAACTCCTGGCCTCAATCAATCTTCCTGCCTCAGGCTCCCAAAGCATTAGGATTACAGGCATAAGTCACTGTGCCCAGACAATACCTGAATTATTTTTTAAAAAATTATTAATTTAGTTTGCTACAGTATCACAATTTCAACAATTCCTATTGAGCTATGAAATTAAGTGTTAGTTTTCTTAATTTAATCTTGGAAGGATACCGTCATGAACTGTCCAAAGTCAAAAAATATGTTTGTGCATGTTTTCTGTAATTTCTTGGTTTAGAAGCATTTCTTATCCCACAGAACAACACTAAGCCAACTATATATTGGCTTACATACCATTTATTACTACTAAACCTTCAGTTCCCTGACTTCCTGCCATTCTCTTTTAAGACCTCTGATGAATGTCCACAATTTGAGAGAGCTGACAAGATACACTATGAGGCTGCAGGATATTTTCTGAAACCATTAATTTAAAATTTGCCCCACTGTGTTGTTTCTTAACATTTGATAGTAGAGACTTACTTTACATAAGCATAATGAGAACATACTGCACGAGGCTGCTGCACCTGTCAGAGGCACCAGGGCTTATTTTTCTCTGCAGAATCAATTAGCTGCAATAAATATAAAACACCACTAAAAATAAAGGGAAATTTGGTAGATAAATATTATGGCTAAGAGAAGTCAATGAATCAGTAAGAGCACATGTTTTATCGTATGTTTGTGTCTACAGACTTCATTTTCATCAATTTTACAACATAATTGTCCTGTTGAAGTTATCAGTTGAGTTTCTGCTATATTATTAAATTGTCCTATTGAAGTAATTATATGAGTTTCAGCTATATTACATTATTATTATTAAAATTCTATATTAAGAATTTTTAACTTGGTAAACCAATAACCTCTTTGTGTCTCAGTTTTCTCGTTTAAAATATGAGCAGAACAAGATCTCTAGAATTACCTCTGAATTGCTTCTCAGCCTTTTGGCTAAGATCAAGTGTAGAATTACCTCTGTCCTAGCATTGGTTTTTATCTGTTTCAAGAAGAACACAACTTAGAGATATATCTACACAAAATTAAAGCAGCATTTGTCTACACAGAGAAAACAGAATCATTCCCATTGGACCTGAAACACCCCGAAAATCTGTGTCCTCCCATGAAACTATTAGGAGACCATCAGAATTTTTTTACCATTTGGGTTACCCAGAAAACGCTTACATATTGAGCTCTGGTTAAAAGCCATGAGTAGAATAAAGACTCTAAACTCCTTCTGCTAGTCCATCTACCTGTCTTCATGCACATAATTAAGCTAATATTACCTTTTCCAATTACCTAAAGGATTACTACTAGGTTCCAATAAGATAAAGTAAGTAAAAGAAGGTTATAAGTCATGAGGCATTGTACATATTTCAGGTGTTACTATTTAACAGAAAGAAGTGCTAAGATATATTCCAAATTATCAGCCACTGTTATACTTCCATTTCCATCCTTAAATCTGGGAACTGGAAGTGACTACATTGGACTGGCCTGTAGCAAACTGTTTCCTCTCCCTTTAGAGAATGTACACATTCTGCATTTCTTCTCAGCTCAACCCTTTTTTCTTTCTATTAATTTCTTCAGATCATCCTTTCTTTCACATCTCAGAACCCACTCCAGTGAGAGCTGAAATGGAATATAGTAACCATGACAATTCCACTTAAGTAAGAAGTAAGCAACTCATTCAAGATACTTCAGCCATCATTCTGTAAGACATGCTCCTAACACGGTCACTAGAATAACAAGTACAAAGTCCATCGAGTATACTTGATTTCCAGTATTATGTTAATGCCAAGAGAGCAAGGGGTTTTCTGTTTCATTTAATGCTGCATTCCAGTTGCTGGAATAGTAGATGCTCAATAAAAATTTTGTAAATTATGCTTCTTTAACAATTTCTAAAAGATATCTTATTTCCCTAGCAGCCCCACTTACATAGCTATTATCACTGCAGTTCTGGTGTAAACCACTGACTCCTTGTCACCCGGACACTGAGGAAATGCTAGTGTACATACTTTATCCTGATTTGGAACCCATTTTTCTCCTTGGTCGTGCTAGCTCTGCTCTAGCATCTGAGTCACCTCTCCTATTTCTATATCTTATGCCGTTGCACACTAATACTGTCAGTTCTGGGGTCTGAAATGGTATACTATTTTTGTAAGTAATATATTCCTAAAAATTGTTACAAAGTTTAATGTCTCTCATTAAACTTTAGGCAATAGACATATATGTTATAGTTGTTTCTATAACATATATGTTATAGAACTAATACATATATTAGTATAATACGTATATTGCCTAACTAATACATGTATTGCCTAACTAAGTTAGGCAATAGACATATATGTTACAGTTGTTTCTATAGAAACCTAACAGGGAAAAAATACTCCTGAATTACATTTTTTTCCAACACTGCTCTCACAGAGCCAAGTAATCCTGTTGGTGGGTATGACCTTCATGGGTATCTGGGGATTGCTGACCTGAGAGCCAGTTGGTCATTTCCTTGTCCTGCCACAAGCAATTAGTCCAGCATTCCCTTCTCCAAAGACTTGTCACCCGCCACCTGTGACCCTTCCCCCAAAGACCTGCCTTCTAACAAAGGCAGATCAGGAATTCAGCCTCCAATCTGAATCTGGTTAGTACCTGAATCAAAGATTAAAGGGTTGTTGTTTGTCTCCTGCCCGTGTCTCCCAGCTGGGCTGAGTATAGAGAACATCACCAGGCTGCACGGCCACCTGCTTCCAGCCCAGCACTGCCCATTCCACTTACCACCATCCCTCTGTCCCCACTGAGGAAGCTCTGGGGTAGAGGAAGTCTGAGACAGGAAAGCAGATACCTGCCCTGAATGCCAGCCTAGTGTGAACAAGATGAGAGGATGAGAATATAGACCCATGCAATATTTTGAAATTATTAGATAGCTCAAGATTGTCCAACCTGCAGCCCAGGATGGCTTTGAATGTGGCCCAACACAAATTCATAAACTTTCTTAAAACATTATGAAATTTTTTTTGTGTGTGTTTTAGCTCATCAGCTATTGTTAGTGTATTTTATGTGTGGTCCAAGACAATTCTTCCAATGTGGCCTAGGGAAGCCAAAAGATTAGACACCACTGAAGTAGCTGATATGTAAAAAATGGAATTGGATATATGCCATGTGTGTCAGTGTCTATCTAAGGTGTCAAAGTTAAGTGAAATGTGAACATAGAAGGTGGAACATCGCACAGTGTTGCCATCTGCAAGCGCTCAAGGTTCACTCTAAACTGCTACCCCTACTCCATTACCTATTATGCTATTTCTCTAGCAATTTTTCCCCATTTGATATTTTACAAATCTAAAATACTGGAAATGCATAGTAGTGAAACTCCTATGAAGTAAACACTCTGCTACTGCCTTCTATAAAAATGTCTCCTTCAAAGATATCTGTTGTAGTTATACAGTGTAAAAGGCATCTTAGATGTGCTGAAGACTTTCCAAACTGAGTGTTACCAGGAAGATTCTTCCCCTGAGTCAAAAGCCATTTCTTCTGTGCCTATCCTCCTTCTCCCATGATCAACAGTTCCCTAACTGGAGTAATGTTAAAACAAAAAACAAACAAACAAACAAACAAAAACCCTCTGCTGGCTACCCTCTGGGGCTTTTACAATTTGCCAGTTTTATGCACATGTGGGTTACCAAAACACATGGCTTCATATAAATCTAGCATTGTAAACACCTCAAATTCTATGTTCATAGTTTTATAGATGAACTTTCTAATATGTCTTTAATGTTAAAAAGCACTTATATGTACAGAAATGACATACTCAACTAGAAAAAAATTTGGCTGTTCATATATAGAAGCTATAATTTATCACACAGCTCAATTATCAAAAAAAAACTAGAGAGTTAAACTGAACTTACCTGGATTTTGAATTCTCTGATTCTATGAACCAGACCACAGTGTACTAACCAGACATACTATATATTGGATTATATATATATATATGGATCATAATTTTATATATAATTTTATATATTTTATATTTATATATAATTTTATATATTTTATATTTATATATAATTTTATTTTTTATTTCCATAGATTTTGGGGGAACAAGTGGTGTTTGGTTACATGAATAATTTCTTTAGTGGTGATTTCTGAGATTTTGGTGCACCCATCACCTGAGCAGTGTACACTGCACCCAATGTGTAGTCTTTTATCCCTCACCCCCATCTCACCCTTTCCTCCAAGTCCCCAAAGTCCATTGCCACAGTATATATTTTTAATCAATGCCTACTGTCCCTGAATCTTCAGTCCCACATCCTGCCCTCCAGGGGAGAACCATGGAGCATAATCAGAAAGTCTACCCAAAAACTTGAATAAGGAGACTAAAGGCAGACTTTCATATTACTAAATTAAAATATGGACATTGTCCTCTGAAGCTAGTAGCTTCAAAGAACTAACACTGAAACCAACCAGGTCCCTATGGTATAACTAATGCCCTCATAAATCTTCAGATGAGAACCACTTGACAAATATGGAGCAGGATTGTGCTCAATACAAACTTTAAGAAGCAGCCTCTTTCTGTTAAAACCCACAAAAGAGATGCAGAAGGGAAACACACTACTATGAGAGAGACTTCCCTAGAAGGCTTTCTGCTCTCATTGCCTATTTTTCACCCTTAGAAGAAATGAGCGAAGTGGGGAAGCAAATAGACTCACAGTTAGCATTTGTAATGTGTTGGTGTAGGTGGGTGTTGTGTGGTAACTTAATTGTAATGCAAATCTTTTACCTGTGAAAAACAAACACGACAAGTTTGCTGACACACTCAACTGGAACTATATCTCAGTTGGAGTGGTTTAGGTTAGGTATAGAATAGTATTTTAAAAGTGGATATTTTGAGGGAAGCCCTTAGATAATTTAGTAGACAGGTTAGAAATACAGATATGTCTGTCTTCATAGCAGCAGATACAGGTGGACAGTCCAGTTTTGAATGACATCACCATTATTTTTAAAGTAAGCTACATAAGAGTTTAATTGTAAAACCTAGATGACGGACTTATAAATATTCACTATACAATTATTTCAACTTTTCTGCATATTGTAACTTTTTTATAACAAAATGTTGAACCAGGTGGAGGGGAACTCAAGCCATACAGAAGGAGTTAGTCCACTGAGCTCAGTTTATCATGTACTACATTTGACCCCAACACACACTGGTAATGTAATTGAGCAGCCTCAGTCCAAAGATGATCTAAATGTTTTCCCAGGTTTGAATGCATGAGCTCACTTCTGACCATGAGAATGAACTTTAACAGCAAAGCATTTTGGAAAATAGTCAATAACCTCTCATGATTGGGTAAATTTCTGTGGCTCTACACATCCATTCCTCTTTATTCTTTACACAGGAAGCCAGAGCCATAGTAAAAAAGACCTGGCCTTTGAATTATGGCTCAGATCTCTACCCCGCTTCTTATATACTGACTGATATGATTTGGCTGTGTCCCCACCCAAATCTCATCTTGGATTCCCACGTGTTATGGGAGGGACTTGGTGGGAGGTAATTGAATCATGGGGGCAGGTCTTTCCCATGCTATTCTTGTGATAGTAAGTCTCATGAGATCTGATGGTTATTACAACAGGAAGTTTTCCTGCACAAGCTCTCTCTCTTTGCCTGTTCCCATCCATGTAAGACATGACTTGCTCCTCCTTGCCTTCTTCCGTGATTGTGAGGCTTCCTCAGCCATGTGGAACTGTAAATCCATTAAACCTTTCTTTTGTAAATTGCCCAGTCTCAGGTATGTCTTTATCAGCAGCGTGAAAACGGACCAATACGCTGACCAAACCTCCTGATCCTCTCCCCATACAATAAGAAAAACCAAGATACTAATTTCCATTTTATACAGTTGATATAAGTATTAAATAAATAGATTTTTATAATTCTAAGCACAGTATGAACATAGTGTACAAAACTTTTGGTTATGATTCCACACTGGCTGAGCCTCTCCCAGGCAAAAGTTTGTCTAGAACTTTTTAAGTTGTTTTTAGGCAGTGGGATGTCAAATTATCATTATTATTTCGTCAAGAATGATGAAAATACAGATAAATTCTGTTAATCAGACTTTGTCTTCATTAAATTCATACATCTAACAGTAAAATATTGAGTTGCTGAATAATGACCCCAAAGTATCTAAAATTCCTGAAGTTTCTACCAAATCATGTAAGTGCAATGAAGAGAAGGAAAAGGGAAAGACAGCTGTCCGCTCTCCTAAAACTCAGCTCCATCTCACCCTACCTTCTATTTTATTCATCAAGATATGGAGAAAGAGAAAAGAAAACAGGAAGAGATAAATCTTATAAAAGGAGTTCAATTCTTTTTGTCTAGCACTTTTTTTTTTTCTGAGACGGAGTTTCACTCTTGTTGCTCAGGCTGGAGTGCAATGGTGAGATCTTGGGTCACCACAACCTCTGCCTCCCAGGTTCAAGCAATTCTCCTGCCTCAGCCTCACGAGTAGCTGGAATTACAGGCCACCACACCCAGCTAATTTTGTATTTTTTTTTTAGTAGAGACAGGGTTTCTCCATGTTGGTCAGGCTGGTCTCGATCTCCCAACCTCAGGTGATCTGCCCATCTCGGCCTCCCAAAGTGCTGGAATTACAGGCGTGAGCCACTGCGCCCGGCCTCTTTTTTTTTTTTTTAACCCAATAATGTTAGAAGTCTATACACTTCAGATAAACAGAGATTTAATGAACCCAAATGCTAATGGAGCATAGTTATTTTTGTCACTACCTAAATAATTATTTTATAACATACATATGAATTAGAAAATAAGAAAGAATCTAATATGCTGAAGGCAATGAAATACGTTAACAATGTGAAGAAATTTACCCATTATATTCAGAAATTCATGTTATTTTAAAATTCAGCATGACCGTTTTTCTTCAGGATAATAAAAGAGAATTTTGGCTTTAAAGATGGCTAAAAATACTGCTAAGAGTTAATGAGAGAAATAAAAAATAGTTACTATTATATTATTAGTCTTGTTGGGTGGCTAAAATGCGGTATGCATCAGATGCACTGGTTGCCATGGTGTATATTGTTGCATTCTTCAAACAGAGTATAAAACAGTTCTGTAACCAACAACAAGGGTTGAAAGAATGAATTCTACTGCACAGATTGCAAAACAGCTTTTTCATCTCTCTTTTTTTCTTGAACCACCAGGAGGAGCCACAAAATGTATACTAAATTATGGGATTTTTTTAGAATCGCTTAACTGAAAGGTGTAAACAGTATGTTCTTAGTAGTATAATTTTGACTTTGACTAGTTTTTATGTCATTTTTCCCTATCTACAGGGCCCAGCTTCCAACAGGGATTGATTGGTCACATGAGAGTCACAGATCACACCCGCAGTGCCCTCCATCCTCTCTGAATCTTCTAATCTCTTGTTAGCTCTCTTCAACTTTTCTTCTAGGACATAGGCACTATAAGTTCCCCCTTAGCTTAAGATATTTTACCAAATAACTTCAATAATTTTTTTAAATTTCTTGTATCAACTCAATTCTATTTTTCAAGAACACAGCAATAACTATGTGTTTTTAAAATTAGAAAGTTTCATTTGTTGAGAACAATTATCTGCTTATGCTACCGAGTGGATGTTCAGAATTGGCTAAATTCATATTCTTCATACAGATTACATTACTCCGCCTTTTTGATTACTTTGTATTGATAATTCTACAGAATAATCTGACTTTTCAGCATTTGTCAAAGATGATAGGCATGTCTCAAAATTTAATTCTGGAGATTATTCACCTCTAACTAGAGCCATTTTTCTAAAATGGTTTATTTTAAAAATAAAGTAAAATAAAATAAGATTTTCATAATTAAAAAAAAATTTTTCTTCTTTTAACTCCAGCATTTCCAAACTCTTTTTTAATTCACAGGCCAAAAATCTATTTTTCGCAGAACACACTGAGAAATGCTGAGTTTGCTGAAGCTTTTTTTAAACATTTAAACCTTGTCTCAGTTTAACTAGAAAGAATTAAGGGAAGGGTCACTGCTGTTCTCTGTGTCAAAATCAAAGTTTCACTGCTTCTATAAACATCATGTTGATAGGGACTACTGTTGAAAGGGACAGAAACCCCTTCATACCCCCACACCCAGGAAGTTGTATCTTATGATTGTTGAATTAATATCATTAGGGTCACAAAATCTGGCCCCCACACAATCTTGGAATTTGGGGATTTGTTTTAAAGAAAGAGGCATTACTTCACAATTCCAAATTCCTATCTCCAGCCCAAACTTCCTTTCTTTAGACCTTCAAATATTGCAGCATCTTTTTACTTTTCCACTAAAGTTGGTATTTTCCTATGCTTCTTCCTTAGGTATATCAGCAAAAGGACTAACTGCAATACTCCACTACCAGAACAGAATTCACTACATTCTTGTCAAGCCAGTTTCTCCTTCTGATTTTATTACACCTGTTAAAAGAACCATCACCCTACTCGTCCTCTCAACCTGAAACTTTAGTCTGTCATTCTTTCCTTTATTTCTCATCCATGAAGTTACTAAATCCCATGGTTCCACCTCTGCAAGGTCGCTTTCATTCCAGGTTATCACCCTAATCCAGACCTTCTCCCATAAAACTCTTCAAACAGCCTCCTAACTGTTCTCAATCCGCTTCTCTCCTCCTCCTCTTCATCGCCTGTATTTCCACTGGTTAGTTTTCATGAAGGCAACTGTGACATTTCTGTACATAAATCTCTGATATCTTGCCATTGCCTACCAATTCAAACACCAACTGGCATTCTGCCTAGGATTTCTACTCCGCAATTTCATACCCAAATTACTTGTCCAACTCATCCTTCCCTTAATCATATGCCAGTGGAGCCTTGAGCATGCACTTCACTTGAGCACATCTCTGCCACTGTTATCTGAAATGTTCTTCCTCCACACTCTTCCTTACAACTCCTTCCAGATCCATCTCAAATAGTTACACTTTCAGCCTGAGGCACGATGTAGTGAAATGGTGAACACAAGTGTATACAAGCCTTGTAATCACGCAGATCTTCGTTTATAACTCAACTCTGCCTCTTATCAGCTGTAAGTTCTTGGGCAACCTCTCTGATACTTACTGCCCTCATGTGTTATTAAGCAGCCAATCATAAGCTTCCAATTTGCTACACATATTTTTCACAAGAATTAAATGAAACACACGCTTGCTTCTGACACATGAACATTACCATTATGACTGAAATCTTTCCCAATTTCCTATATTCTGAAATGATCTCTCTCAATTAAAAATTTCACAATTTAAAAATTGTACTTTATAGTCAGCTGTAGTAACAGAAATATATTCTGCCCTGAGCACCTCAAAGAAAAAGACTACAGCCCTGTTAGCATTTGCTAGAGCACTTAAACAATATTTTGATTACAGCATTCAGTCCATATATGTTTAAATGAATTAAAGGACATAGTTAAGAAGGGTTCTCATTTGCGATACTTTTTTCACAAGCAGAACTAAATGTCCTTCTTCATTTGCCATTCACAGCAATCTATTGTTGATGGCAGAGACAGCCCATCCAGAGTGGCCGCTGTGAAAAAGCTGGCTGCAGCGGTGCGGCCGGGATTGCACACTCCATGGGGCCAGAGGGAGCCCAGAACAGGGGGAGCCCCAACCCCACCGAGTTTGCATCAGGAGCCCACGCTCTCGGTCAGGCTGCAGCCACACAGCCACAGCTCCAAACCCAGGTAAGCCCCTCCACCTGCAGGCTCAGAAGTGCCTGTTCCCACTCCCTGGCCTATCCCCACTCTCGGCGCCCCCTCCGGTGTGGAGCAAAGTTGAGGCCGAGCCCAGGTGCTGTCGCAGCACAGCAGGGTGTGCACGTGCTGGGGGCAGGAATGACATGCCAGCCCCCTGCTGCCTCAGCCCCCTTTGGACTTTGGGCACTGACGAGTGTGGAAGAGGGGCCAGGGGAGTGGCTGAGGGCAGCTCTGCCTGGGCCTAAAGGTAACCCTCAGCACAAACAGCCTGGGCGCGTGGACTACATGTTGATGTCAGGAGGGAGACTGGTTACTGGGCGGAAAGGGGCGGGTTTCCGGAGAAATCTCACCTTCAAGCCAGGGAGGGGCTGAAGCCTGGGGCCAGGCTACCAGTTCCAGACAGAATCTGCCTCGGAAAGTGAGAACTTATCATGCTTTTTCCGAGCCCGCCCATGGCCCCCCATGGACCAATCAACATGCACTTCCTCCCTCCTGAGTCCGTAAAAACCACCGGACCCAGCCAGACTCACACAGATGTCAGGACTATCAGCTGCAAGAAGGAGCTACCCACTTCGGATGTCCTAAACTTGTCAGGACAATCTGCCTGCAGAAAATGGCTACCCATTTCAGGTCTCCTGATAACTGTTCTGTCGCTCAGTGAAGCTCCTCTCTGCCTTCTTCACCCTCCAGTTGTCCACATACCTCATTCTTCCTAGGCATGGGACAAGAATTTGGAACCCACCAAGAATTTGGGACCTGCCATTTGGCAAGCCTGAAAGAACTGTAAGACAAACAGGGCTGAAACTTGCCCCCTGCTCACCAGGTGGCAGGTGATGAGGAGAAAAGAGCTGCAGCCCTTTGGGGAGCCCAGACCTAGGGGCTCTCCGAGCGAGGGCTGTGACACCATCTTTGGGGCTCCGCAGTCCCTGGCATCTCCAAGCTTCCAGGCACCACCGTGTTCCCAGGTACCCACCTTGGAAGCTGCTTGCGGTACACCTGATCCAGCCACAGCCTCGCATGGAGCTGGCACCTGTACCAGCATTTGGAGCTGCCTGCCTTGCTGCAGCCGGCACACCTGACTGCGCAGTGGTCGGACCCCACACTCACTCACACACCCCTCGCCACTCTGCACCTGGCTCGCCCTTGGCAGATATGGGATCTGGGCTGGTAGCACGAGCCAAGCACAGCCTGCTGGGCCAAGTGGGCAGAACGAGCCCAGCAGGCCTGAGCAAAACTCAGGCAAAGGTGCTGATGACCACAGAGGTTTCCGGCTGGAAAAGCAACACCCAAAGGATCCTGTGACATTGTTATGCTATTATTATTTCTATTGCAAAATATGAACACCTGGTCCCAGAGAAATAATCTACTCAAGCTCACATGTTAGTGATCTACAGAGTCAAGATATGAGCCTACACAGTTGGCTCCAGTAACAGCACCCTGAGCACATTCTGTGGTCTCTTTAGAGTAAAAAGGTCAAATGACTATGCCAAATTCATCATTGCTGAGGCATTTTCAAATTGGTAAAATTATAGGCTTAGAAGCATTAAGTCACTGGGAAATTCTTTAACAGTATGGAAACAACCCAAATGCCCACTGAGAGGTAAATGGATAAATGTGGCATAGAGATTCAGTGGAATATTATTCAGCCTTAAAAAGGAAGGATATTCAGATACATGCCACAAGGTCGATAAACCTTGAAGACATAACACTAAGTGAAATAAGGCAGGCACAAAAGGACAAATACTATGATTCTGCTTACCTGATGTACCTAGAATAACCTAATTCAGAGAGTTGGAAAGGAGAATGGTGGTTTCCAGGGACTAAGAAAAGCGGGAAACTGGGCCTTACTATTTAATGTGTACAGAGTTTCAGTTTGGGAAAATGAAAGAATTCTAGATTGTGATGGTTGCACAGCAATGTGAATATACTTAATCCACTGTACACTTATAGGAAGTTTTATTTTAAGTATATCTTACTATGATACAAAAAAGTGGAACAAAATTATATTGAGAATTCCTAGGAAGAGAAATTTTTAGATGAAACTAACAGAAAACAAACTTTTTTTTTTTTCTTGAGACAGAGTCTTGCTCTGTCACCCAGGCTGCAGTGCAATGGCGCAATCTCGACTCACTGCAACCTCTGCCTCCCAGGTTCAAGCAATTCTCCTGCCTCAGCCTTCCAAGTAGTTGGGATTACAGGGACTCACCACCATACCCGGCTAATTTTTTGTGTTTTAGTAGAGATGGGGTTTCACCATGTTGGCCTGGCTGGTCTCAAACTCTTGACCTCAGGTGATCCACCTACCTCGGCCACCCAAAGTGCTGGGATTACAGGCGTGAGCCACCACACCCAGCCCAGAAAACAATAAAAAGACTAATAATTATTTTTTGCCTGAATCTTATTTAAAAATTCATTCATTCCAGGGACATGGATGAAGCTGGAAACCATCATCCTCAGCAAACTAACATAGGAACAGAAAACCAAACACTGCATATTCTCACTCATAAGTGGGAGTTGAACAATGAGAACACATGGACACAGAGAGGGGAACATCACATACCGGGGTCTGTAGGTGGATGGAGGGAAAGGGAAGGGAAAGCATTAGGAAAAATACCTAATGCATGTGGGGCTTAAAACCTAGATGATGGGTTGATAGGTGCAGCAAACCACCATGGACGTGTATACCTATGTAACAAACCTGCATGTTCAGCACATGTATCCCAGAACTTAAAGTAAAAAAAAAAAATAAAATAAAAATAAATAAAATTTTTTTTAATTTATTTATTCATGGTTATTAAATGTTTAAAGGAGAATTGAGTAAAGGTGGATATTAGAAATAATAATCACACTTAAAAGAAATTCATGAAAGACATTACACTCAATTCAAATTCACGTTTCAATTTTCTTTATATCTTAAAATTAATATAAAACATTTCTTAAAATTGAATTTCCCAAAGTACTTTCTAATTAGTTGTACCCTGTTGGAATAAAAATGTACCCTGCTATTGTTAATTTCAACAATATTATTTAAAGAAGAAAGGTAATTCATAATAAATAACTGAAAAGTAATTTTTTCCACACAGAAAACAGCCAAGCAATTTGACATCATCAACTCGTTGTTTTTTTAAGATTACAGTAAAGATAAAAGAAAGTTACATGAATACAATTTAATTCCTACTACTTTCTCTTTTCATAAAAATCAGTAAACATGTGGCCCAGTATAAACCATTCTTTTAGAAAGGCAAACCCCGCTTCATTTAAGAAAAGAGAACCAAATGAAAGAGTGGAACAAAGAATTCCTGCTTTCTAGTCTTCTGAATTAAATCTGGTTCAACAGGGACTTACAAGAACTTACAACTGACAAACCCCAGCGCTAGATGCTAGGGATGCAAAGATAAGTGAGGTCACCCTTTCTACCTGCTTTCAAGGAAATGAGTCCAAGGAGGATATAAACATGTACTTAAATACATCTCTGCATTGTGGGTAAAGATTCTAAGGGCAGACTTAATTGTAAAGGTAGATTCAAAGTAGAGCAGGGTCACAAAGAAGTAGTCAGCACTAAGCGTAATGTTTTGGGAGCTCTCTTAAAGGGGAAAAAAAAGTGCAAACCTCTCTGGTTTGGAATGGATGTCTTTAGGAAAAAAAAAAAAAGCAAATACAGCATGAATATCACCTTACATTTCTACTATCAGTTTACATTTCATTTTAAAATTAATTAAGCAGTTCTCATACACTACTGAATGAAACAGCCCTACAATTATTCCCATATTGCAGATGAGGAATGTGCCTCTCAGAGAAGTAGTTAGCTAAAAATTCCACAACCAGGCTGGGTGCCACGGCTCACGCCTGTAATCCAGCACTTTGGGAGGCCAAGGTGGGAGGATCACATGAGGTCAGGAGTTCAAGACCAGCCTGACCAACACAGTGAAACCCCATCTCTACTAAAAATACAAAAATTAGCCTGTCGTGGTAGTGTGCACCTGTAATCCCAGCTACTCAGGAGGCTGAGGCAGGACAATCGCTTGAACCTGGGAGATGGAGGTTGCAGTGAGCCAAGATCGTGCCCCTGCATTCCAGCCTGGATGACAGACTCAGATTTTGTCCAAAAAAAAAAAAAATTCCACAGCCAGTAATACCTAGGGCTATGTATGATAAACTCTTTTAATTCCTAAGCTGCTTTGTCACTGAAGCTGTTTCACACCAGCATGCTTACAAAAGGAAGACATAGAGAATTTGTGGATTGCAGGGAAAAAAACGACATAAAATGAAAAAAAATGTCAGAGCATGTGTGAGCATATTCAATTTTCAAATTGAAAAAAATACCAATTAAATATAAGATAGGAGCCACTACTTAGGCAACTGAGGCTTTCTGAGTAAGAACAAATTAAACATAAACTAAAACCAGACACAGATTGATCATATCCAAACGTACCCATAGATGGTACCCATCTATCACTTTTAAAAAATTCCCTTAAAAGGAATGAACTGGAGCTCTAATCTAATAATCTGATATTTTAAATGATATATCTGATCATCATAATACAGAGGAACTGCCTCAGAGATCTGTTACCTGATTACTGTCAAAATTAAAGGGAAGCATTTGGGCAAAAAAAGAAAGGAATGGAGGACTGCAAGAAGGAGATTACTTGCTTCCAGTCCTGCTGCATCTTATTTATAGAAGAAATAAAAATTAGAGTGGTTGATGGTATCTGCTTTCAATTCCTAGGTCACATTGGATAAAACCGTCAGCCAGCCCTCTCCTTTTGATTTATTTCCTTCAGTTTAATTAAACCCATTTTTGTGTAATACTGAATACATCAAACAGTGAAAAATTATTTAAAGTTGTGTATAATATTTTCCAAAATGTTTTTTAGGATCCAATATTTTTTTTCCTTTCAAGTAACCTTCATATATACCTCAACCATACTTGATAATCTGAAAGTACTGAAGAGATTTTTTTTATTTGAAGGAACATTTGGCATCTTCAAATTCATTCTAGCAAAAAATAAATAAAATTGTTGAAATAATAATCATCATGAACTTAGGAAAATTATGATTCCTGCTAAGTGAACAGAAACATCAACAGAATACACTCATAGTTTACCGGTAGCTAAATGGAAGTTCCTAAGCAGTATATTCCTTTACCAAAAGATAACCTCAGACAGGTAAGTGCCGACATAGATTTTTCTCAAAAGGGAAAAACGGGCATTTCCCGGACTGGATGAAAAGCAACGTGATATATGAAAGGGACTGGGCTGAGAGTGGGTAACAGTTCTAATACAGATTTATTTTTTAGCAAATGTTTTACTTTGTTATCTTGAAACTAGAGTTAACCCATTTGAAAATGAAAGCGTCAATTTAGATAACCTGAAAAATTCCTTTCTATGTCATTTTCTCCCCTTTCGATAATCCTTCTTTCCTACTTTCAAGCAGGCATAGGCCACGCCTGTGTTCACTTTTTTTTTTTTTCTTTTTCTATACTTTTACCAGGACAAAAATAGGAGCTAAATGAGGAGAGGAAAAAAAACAGAGAAGACATTTCTATGAAGAATGCAAGTTCTCTACAGAAAACTAGCTAGGGAAATTTAGACCAATTTGTTAATCTTTCTAAACTTCATTGCCTTTTCCTACAAAGTGAAATAATGAAATTTTCCTGAGGATAAAGGAGATAATCCATTTGCACTTCCTGATGCATAGAAAGCACTTAATAAATTCTGAATGCTACTGCTATTGTTGATTTCCAGTGGGAAGATGGAGGAAGCAGCAGCTCTGGTCCAAGTTCAACTATATTATCTCTTCCTTCCTTTTACTTCATTTTCCCTCTCTTCACAGAAATCTTACAATTCTGTTTTTTGATGTGTGATTATCTAAATGGAATACCAGGTAGTATGTTAATTTAGTAACAAAAGAAAGTAGGCCTTTTGGGTTAGCATTTGATGCTGTAGTTGATTCAATCCCTCTCACTCTTTACATTAGACACAGGAAATTAGCAGGTCCCCCTTTAATGGAAAACATTTTCTTGCTAAATCTGTATTGCTTTCCAATTTAGGCCCTTGTCATTGTGTTCCCACAAATAACACAATTTAACAGTGCATGGGTGGATTCTCTAGAGACTGAGAAGGTTCATGAAAATATTCATAAGAGAGGTGTGTCATTTCCCCTCAGCACTACCCACTGCACCCAATTTAGAAAGACAAACTCCCAGCAGATGGGTCTCCTGGCCTCTTTCCAATACATAATTTAAATTGTTTTTCAAAGACACTACAAATCAAAAGCTGACTGATGCTGCAAACAATTTATGTGTTTCAGAGAATCAAGTGACAAGGTCAGTGTACAGCACTGCTTTAATTATTATGCCTTTTAATGACTTGCTTTTTAGTGTGATAGCTTGTAGAATGAGTAGTTTCGGGTTTTCTTGGATTGTAATAAAACATTCCTTACTTTCCGCCATCTATCCAGTCAGATGGACTGTGGCTAACCCCTAACAACAATGCAGTGGCCCACATGAAATGTTTCAGGTTTTAATTCAGCTCCTTAATGGAGAACCAGCTACTTTACACAACCCATCACCCAAAGTATGACCATTTGGACTGAAGAAACAATAGCTAGAAGTGGCCTTGCATCTGCATTATTTAACATTTCAGTCACTATCCTAAATTACAGCAGAAGAAACATGCTTATTAAGTTTGCATAGAAAGCCAGGCTGGGAAGGAAGGCAGAGGATAGCATCTGAGAAAACACTTACCAGCTCTCTATGATCATGTCCATTTTGATCCTTTATCAAAAGCAATGCAACTGAACTCAGTAAAGAGAGAACAGACAGCAGGATGGAAAGAGAAGATGGAACAGCGCTGAACTAGTCAGAAGCTCTGCAGTCAAAGACTTAACTCTGCCATTTGCTACATACACGAACATCTTGAGCACATCACTTTGCTTTTATATCTTAGTATATCTTAATTTGCCAACTATAAAGAGTGATAAAAATGCTCTGCCACGCCTATTTGCTAGAGTTTTGTGAAAATTAAACTGCATCTTCTTAATTTTCAAAATAAAATCATGAAAGACATGCATTTCAATCTCTGAGGTTAAGGTTACTTTCCCTGGAAAAAGTCTTTTTTTTTTTTTTTTACAATGCAAATGATTTATTTCAATAGTTTTTGGAGTACAGGTGGGTTTTGGTTACACAGATAAGTTCTTTGGTGGTGATTTCTGAGATTTTGAAAGCACCTATCACCCAAGCAGTGTACACTGTTCCCAGTAAGTAGTCTTTTATCCCTCGCTCCCCTCCCAGCCTTACCCCTCAAGCCCCTAAAGCCCATTATGTCACTCTTATGCCTTTGCATCCTCATAGCTTAGCTCCCACTCATAAGTGAGAACATACACTATTTGGTTTTCCATTCCTGAATGGCTTCACTTAGAATAATGGCCTCCAGCTCCATCCAAGTTGCTGCAAAAGACATTGTTTCATTTATTTTTATGGCTGAGTAGTATTCCATGGTATATATATACCATGTTTTCTTTATCCACTCGTTGGTCAATGGACACTCAAGTTGGTTCCATATCTTTGCAGTTGCAAATTGTGCTGCTATAAACATGTGTGTGCATGTGTCTTTTTCAAATAATGACTTCTTTTTCTGGAAAAAGTCTTGTTGAGGAAATTATATTTGTGGAAGGGTGTTAGATTACTATCACACCCCATATTTGCTATATGTAACGTCCCGTGTACGTGGGCACCTCTTAAACCTTCTCACCCAGGCCCTCCCGCAGCTTAACATAACACCTGTACACTGACAACTCCCAAACACTTACCACCAGGCCCAGGGTCTCCTCTAAACTTCAGTCTACCTGACATCCAAACGTAGATGTCTAAGAAGCACAGAAAATTTTACATAATAACAGTAGTAATTGCAGTGATCACATGGACACAGGGAAGGGAACATCACACACCGGGGCCTGTTGAGGGGTGAGGGGCAAAGGGAGGGAGAGCATTAGGACAAATACCTAATGCATGCAGGGCTTAAAACCTAGATGATTGGTTGATAGGTGTGGCAAACCACCATGGCACATGTAGACCTATGTAACAAACCTGCACATTCTGTACATGTATCCTGGAAGTTAAAGTAAAATAAAAAATAATAATAATTACAGTGATCACAATAGCATCTACAGTCTATTGGACACTGACTTTATACCAAGCACTATGCTACATACATTTTAAATATCAATTTATTTTTCTTGCCCTTGCAAGACCACTCCTCCTCCCTTAACACTACCCTTGGCAGAATTGTAAAAGGGGCCCACCAATCCTTGAGTGATTCTTGTACATCTCTTTGATAATGAATAATTGCCAGAGATGGTTCAAGTAGGTGCATCTTAAAGTCAGATAATTATCTTGTGCTCACTTTTTTCTCACTCTACCATTGCCTCACTGGAATCATTTTCCCTGGGTGGATTTTAATGTTATGTCTGAGTCTTTCATCATAGGGTACGTTGAGGAAATAGCCCTATGACATCTGTTACTGCACCTGCCAGAAGGCTGTTTTTGAGGACCATGGCGTGTGTAATTCCAAGTCCCTGTCCCTCCACCCCCAATATGAAGCTCCTCAAGATAAACTTGTCTTTCTCTTAAAAGAAAAAATGTTCCTTTGCTGAAGGAACCAATGTATTTCTTCTTTCCAACAAAGGAACCAATGTATTTCTTCTTTCCAACCATAAAGACTTCTAGCCTTTTATATATTCTATTCACTTTGCCTGCCAGAAAATTCACAACACTTTTCAAACAGCAATTACAATATGCCCTTATAGCCTACGTACTTATGTTCTATTTTCCATATTGGTCTTGGTTCCTCACACTAATTTTGTATTATTTCTCAGAAAAATTGTCTGAATCTCGGAAATAGGCAAATGAGATTACTAGGTATGCTTTTAGTGCAGTGCTGGGCTTAACTTTTACTTAGTGGCTGTTTACAACTCAGTTGGGACAGAGGTTACCTTGTAGATTTTTTGCAGTAGAAATGCGAATAAAGTCTGTCTGCTGGAACCTAAGGTATGCTTTATGGCTCTGTTGGGCATTAACCAATTTTACATCTAATTCAGCAATAATAAGTTGCAATAAATCTAATACAAATCAAGTGCTCTTTGGACCAGTTTTTAACATTTTGCTGGTTCCTCATCAATTAATAAAATAAATAAAATTTGTGACGTGTTCATTTTAAATTTTCATGAGTCAGCTTTTTCCCTTTTTAAAAGTATTCTTTAAGATATTTTATGTAATCATGATTTTTATTTCCCATTTATATTTTCCCCTTTTACCTGTATTTTAAATTAATTTTTAATTGATGAATAAAAATTGTATATATTTATGATGTGCAACATGATGTTTTGAAATATTATGCATTGTGGAATGGCTAAATCAAGCTAATTGACATATGCATTACCACATATACTTATCATTTTTTTAGTGGGACACTTAAAATCTACTATTTTCCTGATTTTCAAGTATACAATACATCGTTATTAGCTATAAGCATCATATTCTACAAGTTCTAGATCCCTTGAACTTCTTCATCTGTCTAACTGAAATTTTGTACTTTTGACCAAAATCTACCCACTCTCCCCACCATTAAATAGATATAGATATATATGTGTATATATAGTTATAAGCTGCCCTGAAACATTTGTAGAATAAACCTATGTAGAAATAAATTAAAAGAAGCAGGCAGATTACAAGGTCAGGAGCTCGAGACAAGCCTGGCCAATATGATGAAACCCAATCTCTACTAAAAAATACAAAAATTAGCTGGGCATGGTGGTGCACACCTGTAATCCCAGCTACTCGGGAGGCTGAGGCAGGAGAATTGCTTGAAGCCGGGAGGCAGAGGTTGCAGTGAGCCAAGATTGCACCACTGCACTCCAGCCTGGGTGATGGAATGAGACTACATCTTTAAAATAATTAATTAATTAATTAATTAGTTAAAATGAAATTACATATATGAGCATGTATGTGACAGCACCAAACAAATATGTTACTCTTAAATTTATATGTCTTGCCAGGCATGGTGGCTCATGCCTGTAATCCCAGCACATTGGGAGGCCGAGGCAGGCAGAGTTCGAGATCAGCCTGGCCAACATGGTGAAACCCCGTCTCTACTAAAAATACAAAAAAATTAAACTGGTGTGGTGGCAGGCGCCTGTAATCCCAGCTACTTGGGAGGCTGAGGTAGGAGAATTGCTTGAACCTGGGAGGCGGCGGTTGCAGTGAGCCGAGATAGCACCATCGCACTCCAGCCTGGACGACAGAGTGAGACTCCGTCTCAAAAAAAAAAAATAATAAAATTATATGTCTCTAGATTAACAGTATTGTTACATAAAACAATATATATGACAGGGGCCTGCATCAAAAACTGTTTGGAATTAGATATTAGTCTTTTCATGCTTTTCACTAGTGAGACTAAAGTACTCCTACAGAGCTCAGCTTACATATGAGAAAATATAATACATATTATCAAATATAAAAGGAGATTGCTGAATAACTGTTATCCATATCTACCACGGACAGAACAAGAAGATATTGGCTCACTCTACAGCACAAATTTGGGTTAGATGTAAGAATGAATATTCTATAAACAAGATATCCTAAAATATTTTGAAAAACTGGCTAGATATGGTTTGCTTGAGTTTTTCTCCTCCATGCTATCCAATTCCTATTCTGCCACTTCGGAGCATTGGTCTCAAGCTCAGAACACAACCACCTCTTCCCCCTTTTCACTCTTTTCCTCCCTAGTCTTCATTTTCTTTAAGCCTTCCCTGGAGAGTCTGAACTTGTAGAAGCAGCAAAAGGTGTCAACATTAAAGTCCGGGGGGAAGCCAATGGCATAAATCAGAGAGGAAGGCGGAAGATAAAAACTAAAGAGAGAAATTTGGAAGTAAGGGAAAATTGCGGACTAGGCCAACCTACATGAATGCCTGTAGATAGGTAGTCAGCAAATGGCAGACTCTTCCTCAAGAGAAACGAGATGTTGCAAATCCAGGAAAAAGAGTGTTCAGGGAATATCTATGGGCTTTAAAACTAAGTGGAACTGCAAGTAATTCTTATTAACAGAGTTAGTGTGGATTCAAAAAGAGCTCCAGTGCCTAGGGTCTGAAGGGTTTAGATACCATCATTCATTAACTATAAATAAAGCCTTTGGAAAATACCTCCTAGAACCTCAGTGTTCTCATCAGTAGAATATAGGTAATAACATCTACCTTGCAAAATTATGTTGAGGATTAGACAACATATACAAGGCCCTCAGCATAGTTACTGGACTATACACAGGGCTAGCTGAATAATTCTGATGTGTAATTTTTAGTAAGGAAGTGAGTCACTCTGAACTGAGACTTTGGGGATGAATCTGAGGCCAAGACACAAAAAGACCTTGTTTCTCTAGGGATCTATTACCAAATTAAAATGGTATAAACAATCAATAAAATCAGTATAAGTAGAGAAATGAACAACTATAGGGCAAGTAAAAATATTAAATTCTCCAGAACAGACTGTTCAATGATTTAACCCTATGCTAAGTTCATTAAATAATGAAGAATTGTGTCCCTATATAGAAATGGCAAATAATTTCTAATTTGGGATTCCCTCACATTGTAGTAAAAGCTGCTGTGAATGTTATAATGGTGGTTGCTATGGGCAACAGCAGTCACAATGTGGGAAAAGAGAAGGGAGAAAGAGAAAAAAAAACAAAAAGCAATGATTCTACAGGGAATGTGCCTTTGCAAAAACCCTACATCCTCACCCCTTTATTCTTAATTTTGGTGGCAGGATAAATTTACCAGAGACAACTGGAAGAAAAAATCTGGCCCAGAGTTCCATGAACAATTCATTCTTCAACCAAAGACTGGCTCTTTTCTCTGGGATGGCCATCATCTTCAGCCAAGGGTGTGGCATAGGTGAGATGAGATGGGAAATGGCACTGTCCAGCTGGTTGGACGGGCCTGGTCCATGGGGAGTGACAGATGTCCGAGCCAGAGACCCAACATCTGAAAGAAAGTCTGTGGCTGCGAAGATCAATGCATCTGAACATTATTCAGCGGTACCACCACCTCTTTGAACCCTGTGCAGTAAGTAATACAGATCTCAGTTCAAGAATTATACTAACCTGCTAATAATTAATGGTTCATTGGAAAGTCCTTCAAATGAATAAGCAATTGAAAAAAAGTTCAATGCTTCTGAAAGTTACACATTCCATGATTGGGCAAATCTCCCTGGAATAAAAAAGGTGAGAGGTTGGGGGAAAAAACATAAAAATCATCTAATTTTACCAACTAGTGGAAGTAATCAACTATCAAATACCAGGAAAAAAGATGTCTGTATGGTATATGAAATGGGTCAATCAGGAGATTTTTCTTTATGAAGGACGATGGATTCCACAGTCTTCCTTGATATATTCACAGGCTTTTTGTCTTTTCAACTCAAGCTGAGAGGGGAAATGATTAAATATTAAAATAAGCAAGCTGCTATCTCTCTGTTTCTGCCACCCACACTAACAATTTTGCATTCAAGATCTGTCTGAGTGTGATTAAAGAGCTAAAAATGAAGGATCCAGCTAAAATAAAAACTGATATAACATCAAAAATATACGGATTTGACAGGATTTTTTTAAAGAAGACATTCAATCATTTAACGCTTTTGACTTACTACAAATTTTTGCTACACCTCTGATAACTTTGTTTTCACACCTTTGGAAAAGTATACATCATTTCAGTAACCCTTTTCACAGATTTTTTTAAAAGATAAAAGCCAGATAACAATGGGCCATTTTTATCATTTAAGTTACTATTTTGATTATCGAACAATGGAAAAATACTTCTGAAGCTCTAAACTAAATGGTGGTGAGGGAAAAGGTTATTACGCTGGGCTCTGCCGCTGCAAGTTTCAGCTCTGGCACATGATTATGTAACTTGGGAAAGTAGTTTAACTTCCTTCAGCATCATTTTGCTCACTTGTAAAAGGAAAGATTTAGATTAGTTTAATCTTGACTTTTGGCTTCCAGCCCCAGGAAGGCACAAGAGCTAATCCAGTCTTTATGCCTGCCAAGGGGGAGCCAAGATCATATACACAGTCTCACAAATCGCACCCTCCTCAATGGTGCAGATGACACTACATTTACTTCTTTACTTGGAACTCAGTACAACACCATCATATTTCAGGATTAAAAATTAATAAGGATTTATTTCATCAAGGGATCAACTGAGAAAATTTCTAAATTCTCTATAGAGAATATATTTTCTCCTACTACTCTGAACTGCTTAATGTGTCCTAAGGACACCCCAAAATCACTCTTATACCAAAGGAACCAGCAATTTGCTTGACATGCTCCCCCCAAGGCCCTCATCAAGCTTTCTTACATTTATTGACAGTGCTCGCTCAAGCTGAAAATGAGATTTGACCATTCTGAAAGGAGAGGGTCAGAAGGAGTAATACCATATTTAATAAGATTTAACAGCATTTTATGCATTGTCAATCAAACATCATAGATCAAGATTTTTTTAACATTTAAAACAACTTCCTAATAGGTTTTAAAAAGGCTTATATAGAATATCTTTTCTATATCCATGATCTTACATATGATTATGGTTGTGATATCTAAATATAGACACCTTTAATTCTCTAAAAATCTATTCTAGGTACAAAAATGTTCACCATAACACTACTTAAAATGGAAAAAAAAGTGACACTGATAAAGGAATACTTTCTGAGAACAGTTACAAACGTGAAGAAACTCTTATTATAGAATTAAGTTAAAAGATTAATTTTTATATATGATTTTAAATTGCTTTTAAAAAGTATGTGTATACACACACACACACTTACTCATTTGAAAAGAACTGGAAAGAAAAACAAAACATTAACAGTATTTACCATGATTAATGCAAATAATTTTCTAAATGTTCTGCTAGTATTATGAATTACTTTTATAATGAAAAATATATATATTAAAAGAGTTATGCTCGAATTGCATAAACAAGAATTATTTTAGTATATTTCAATTTTTTAATGAGATATAATCTTTTACGAGTGTTAGAAGATATCAATTTAATCAAACATTTATAATGTAATTTGGATTTATAGTATAAATGTTCACAAAGAAAAGGAAACATGTCATAGTTTCTTTCTGAAGTAGTTTGAATCCTAATTGATGCAGATTGTTAAATTATTATAATTGAAGATGTTTATAGATTTAGATTTTTTAAAGTTCTACACCTAACAATGTGAAAATATAGCCTTATTTAAATATGTTAAATTAAGTTTTTCTAAATTTAAAAGTATCATTAAAATACTTTTATGTCTTGCAACATTTGTTTCTATTAAAAAATTATTTTATAATTTTATAAAATCAGGCAATAAGTATTCTTATAATATAAAATACATAAAATAGTTAGAATATAGAATTACATTGTTTGCTATAACCAGAATATTATAACCAATCAGAATGTGATTCGAAATATCATCGAGAATAGAGAACCCAAAAACAAATTCATACACCTACAGTGAATTCATTTTCAACAAAGGTGCCAAGAACATATATTAAAGAAATGACAGTCTCTTTAATAAATGTTGCTGGGAAAACTGGATATCAATATGCAGAAGAATGAAACTTGATCCCTATCTCTCACCATATATGAAAATCAATTCAAAGTAGATTAAAGGCTTAAATCTCAGACCTCATACTACAAAACTACTATAAGAAAACACTGGAGAAACTTTCCAGGACATTGGTCTGAGCAAAATTTTTTGACTAATGCCCCACAAATACAGGCAACCAAATGGAATCACGTCAAGTTAAAAACAATCAACAAAGTGAAGAGACAATCCACAGGACGGGAGAAAATATTTGCAAACTACTTACCTTACAAGAGATTAATAACCAGAATATACAAGGAGCTCAAACAACTCTATAGGAAAAAAAAATCTAATCATCTGATTTTAAAATAGACAAAATAATTGAATAGACATTTCTCAAAAGAAGACATACAAATGGCAAACAGGCATATGAAAAGGTGTGCAACATCATTGATCATCAGAGAAATGCAAATCGAAACTACAATGAGATATACTCTCACCCAGGTTAAAATGGTTTTTATCCAAAAGAGAGGCAATGACAAACGCTAGCAAGGATGTGGAGAAAAGGGAATCTTAATATACTATTGACAAAAATGTAAATTTGTATAATCACTATGGAAAATAGTTTGGAGGTTCCTCAAAAAATTAAAACTAGAGTTACCATATGATCCAGCAACCCCACTGCTGGGTATATACCCCCAAAGAAAGGAAATCAGTGTATTGAAGAGATATCTGCTCTCTGGTGTTTGTTACGGTACTGTTCACAATAGCCAAGATTTGGAAGCAACCTAAGTGTCAATCAACAGATTAATGGACAAAGAAAATGTGGTACATGGCCGGGCGCGGTGGCTCACGCCTGTAATACCAGCACTTTGGGAGGCTGAGGCAGGCAGATCACGAGGTCATGAGATCGAGACCATCCTGGCTAACACAGTGAAACCCCGTCTCTACTAAAAATACAAAAAATTAGCCAGGCGTGGTGGCGGGCGCCTGTAGTCCCAGCTACTCGGTAGGCTGAGGCAGGAGAATGGCGTGAACCTGGAAGGTGGAGGTTGCAGTGAGCTGAGATGTGCCACTGCACTCCAGCCTGGGCAACAGAGCGAGACTCTGTCTCAAAAAAAAAAAAAAAGAAAAAAGAAAAGAAAATGTGGTACATATACAAAAAGGAGTACTACGCAGCCATAAAAAAGAATGAGATTCAGTCATTTGCAACAACCTGGATGGAACTGGAGGTCATTATGCTAAGTGAAATGTCATACACAGAAAGACAAACTTTTCAGGTGCTCACTTATTTGTGGATGTTAAAAATCAAAACAGTGGAACTCATGGAGACAGAGAGTAGAAGAATTGTTACCAGCAGCTGGGAAGGGTAGTGGGGGTGAGGGTGGGGGAAGTGGGGATGGTTAATGGGTACAAAAAATAATTTAATTGTATATTTTTAAAGAACTAAAAGAGTATATTTGGATTGTTTGTGACACAAAGGATAAACGCTTGAGGGGATAGATGCCTCACTTTTCATGATGTGATTATTGCTTACTGCATGCCTGTATCAAAGTATCTCGTGTGCCCCATAAATGTACACACCACCTATGTACCCACAAAAAATTTTAAAACCTTAAAAATTTTAAAAAGGAAATATCATCTGGAAATAATAGGGTGGTAAAAATTGAAAAAGTCATGTTTTATTATAAATAACATAAGAATTCAATAATAGGGATATAGTCAAATAATAATAAAATGTAACCATTAACATAATGTATGACTATATACAATCATGGAAGTGGCTACAGGACTCAGTAACTATAAATAGTTGGCTACCGTAAATAATAGAAATAAATTCTCTTAGTATGTTGGTGTTATTTTTATTAAATTTCCACTTTGTGTTTCAAAATAATGTTAGATGTTTTGAATTATAATTGTCTCATTCTTACAAATAATTACATTTTATAGAGACTTGGTTCAGCGTTTATATTTTATCAATATTATTATAACCTATATTTTTCCCTGAAGGAACTATGTAAGAATTTAGCAAATGCTTTATTATTCCCATTTTATAGAAGCACCCATCAAGACTGAAAAATATCATGAAGAGAAATAGTGATTCACTTGGAAAAAAAATTCAGTCTGCCCCTTCTCAAGACACGTGCTACTGTCCAAGAGCTACTCTACTGTGGTCCATGGATTATTTTTACTTATCAAAATTTTGAACCAATAAATTATTTCTGTAATTTCAAGAATGACTACAATCTAAGTAATCTTACCAAACCCACTCAACCTAAGAGCTGTAATTACCTTTGATGCTATGCTGTTTTGACTATTAGAGGTTGGTAGGCAATAATAGATGCATGAAACAGATTGAGTTCCCAGAAAAGAATGTTTTTGCCTTGTACATTATTAAGCTCTAAAGGTGTAAATGGCTTTAGTATCATCAAGATCATTAAAAATTAAGAGTCAACCAAGAAAAACCAACAAGTATTTGGAAACACACTTGGCTTTGAAAGAGAAAGAATTATATCAAAATACATTCTCATATTGCTTTCAGAGAAGGGAAAAGCTTGAAATCACTTAGAAGGCTGAACCATATCACCACGACAATGGGGTCAGAACTAACTGAATCTAAAGGAACATGTCACCATCTATTTAAATATTTCTTCTAAATAATTGACTATTAAGCAGTATTTCAAAAATTAAGTGATGGAAAAAGTATATAATCAGTAAATATTCATGTATTAGCTGAAAAAATCTGAGATATAAATAAATATAACACTTGATCACACAAATGATTAGCAGGAATCTACTGGAGATTCCCAGAGAAAATAATTTCCCTTATACAGCTGAATGGCTCCATACCAAAATTTAACTCTAATTAAGGTTTAATGAAATCATGTCATTCTACTCTTGCCATAAGTCAGTGATTCTTAAAAGCTTTTAAAAACACAGATACTAAAGTCCTCTCCCTATAGCTTCTGACTTATTAGGCTTGGTGGTAGGGCTTAAGCATATGTTTTCTTAATAAATTCCCATTGAACACTTATGCGCTGTTAGTGGGAATATGGATTAGTTTAGACACTGTAGAGAGCAGTTTGGAGATTTCTAAAAGGACTTAAAACAGAGCTAATATTCAACCCAGCAATCCCATTACTGGGTACATACCCAAAGGAAAATAGATCAGTATACCAAAAAGATACATGCACTTTTATGTTCATGGCTGCACTATTCACAATAGCAAAGATATGGAGTCAACCTAGGTGGCCATCAACAGTGGATTGGATAAAGAAAATGTGGTACATATACACCATGGAATACTTCACAGATATAAAAAGAATAACATCATGTCCCTTGTAGCAACATGGATGGAGATGGAGCCCATAATCCTAAGTGAATCAGCATAGGCAAAGAAAATCAACTACTGCATGTTCTCACTTATAAGTGAGAGCTAAACATTGACTACTCATGGACATAGACACGGGAACAATAGACACTGCAGACTACTAGAGGGTAGAGAGAGGGAAGTATGGGTTGAAAAATTAACCAATTGAGTACTATCCTCACAGCTGAGTGCAATATATCCACATAACAAACCTGCATGTGTTATCTAAAATAAAAGTTGGAAAAACAAAGACAAAAATTAATAGAAACAAATAAATTCCCATTCTCTAAAAGTAACCAAAGTTTGAAGACCACAGACTAGATTAGAGATTCTTAACTCTGGCTGCACATTGTAGATCCTTTGGAAACTTGGAAAAATTCCTAGGCCCAGGCCCCATCCCAAACAAATTAAACAAATCAAATTAGAATCAAACAAATTAAATTAGAATCTTTGGAATCCAAGTATCATTATATTTTAGAGGTTTTCAAGTCATTATAATGGGCAGACAGGGTTGAGAACCACTGTAATTATTTTGACTTCTCACAAACTCAGCTCTGGTCATTATAGTCATATTAGCAATTTTCATCTGAAGATCTTCAACACAATAATTTAAAGGGAGAGAAAACTGCTAACTAAAAGTGGACCATTGACACATGGTCCAACAGCCCTAAACACAATGGGGGAAATGTAGCATGCTTTTATTCTGTTCATATAAGTCATAATCTGCAAAAAGCAAATGGTATTCTCCACCCATGGTATGCACGTTAAAGTCAAGTCCTGGTCTGTAGTATATTTTAATCTAAGGTATTTAAAACACATTAAAGAAATGAGGAATTTATTAAACACACACTTTTTCTTTCAGAAAAATATTCTGTCCTATATTCAGAATCTTTATTTATGTAGCTTTGTTTGGGCAATTTTGAAATAAAGAAAGGTTCTCTTTAGTAGTTATTTCTGAGATAGAAACAATAAATAATTGTTACTCTACACATAACTAAAAAAAATACCTTATATTCTCCTTTTCCTACCTATAATGAGAGTAGCATTCAATAGTTATGTTGTTATTGTTACACTGATATTTTTCTTAATCCAGAGATGCTTTCTTCCCACAGAAATCACTGCAGCTAGATCAGACACTTTCTATAGGCTGTCCACCCGGACAAGGAAATAGCTTTTCTTATTGAGCTCTTCTGCAGTGATATTTTTATAATGGAATTTTGTCTGTAACCTATTTGTCTCTATTAAGCCCACCAGTTTCAAAAAAAAAAAAAACAGTTATTTAGATAGTTTACAAAAACTAAAGAATTTTTAATATAGTTTAAAAACTAAAATTGCTACACAAGAATGACATGGAAATTGAGTACTGTAAATACCTTACAAGTCTGATTATTTGTAAAGTATCTGATTCAAGCCTTATGAAAAAACAAATAACTCTTCTAAACCTGGGTTTTATCTGTAAAATTGGAGTAATGATGCTATCTCTCAATATCCTCATAGGGATGTCATGAAGGTAAAAAGGGGAAAGGCAGATGAGGAAACTTGACAAGCCAATATATAAAATAAATTATCTTATTACTATGAAAACGCTGTAGTTGAGGAAAATGATGGTAAAATAAAATAGTTAATGTTAAGGATTATCACTAATTTATCATTTTAAAGAATAAATTTATTAAGAAAGCAGAGTTCATCTATTTTAACTCAATTTAATTTTCGTCTTGAATTAAATACAATCTAATTTGGGACATTGTGATGTGCCTGAAGTCGGAGACTAATAGTTTATTTTAAAATAAGGGAAGTTCTTGTTCTGATTCTTTAAAACAAACAGCAACAGAAAAACAAAACAGCGATTACATTTGAGAGCCAGAAAAACTTTGTAAGGAAATAGAAACTTTTTATATGCGTCTGGTATAATAATCAGATCACTTATGTTTGTCATTTTGAGTGGCTTTGGAAATTAGGTACCACAAGATTTAAAAAAAAAAAAAGGCAGACACTAATGCTGCTCTACCTCTGGTTTAGAATCCACCCTGCATACATGTCATCTAGAGTCATCCCATCTAGACAACCAGACCCCAAAAGAAGGTTGTGGACAATATATGAATATATGCAGGTCCTCCAGCCTAATGGCACCTCCCGATATTCCTGACACAGATGGGCTTTACGTTATCACAGTATGGTTTACTCAGAAGTTAGTCTGGGGGGTGCCATTCATCTGAGTTGTTTGGCTTGAATACACAAAAACTTTTGTCTCTACCTTGGCTATTTTAAATAAATTATTATTATTATCATTGCCACCACAGGAGACCACCACAATGATGGGCTCATCAGGATTTCCACTATGTACACTTTTTCTGGTTTCAAACTCTTTCAGCTGCTTAACATTCAATTAGGCTAAGCCTTGGCCTCTGGATTGCAGGAGCGTTTTGTCATTGTGGACAGTTCCGAGGCAGATTTCAAGAAGGGAGTTTCTCAAATTTGGCTGACAAAAAAATACTCCTCATGGGCCCAACAAGTGTCTGGAGCTGGGCTTGACAATTCTCTCAATCTTCTTAAGGTCTATTAGCTCACATTTCTTGTACTTCCACTCTTTAATCTTACTGCCAAGACTTCCATAGAAGCACCACTATTTATAAACATGAAAATTTGAGTATACATATATTCCTACACATCAATACATTTAAGGTAGGAATTCTGGTCATAAAAGGCAGTTATAATACAGGAAGAGAGTATCTCAAGTAAAATAAACTATTATATTATATACCTACCTATCACATGTGAGTGTTTCCCATAACCTATTCACAAAGTTCCCAAACCTTCACTTTTTAATCTTTACATCAATTCAATTAGGCAAACATTGATTAAAGCATCACAAATTTTAAAATAATTTTTAAAGCCCAAGGAGCACCCTTTTATCTGCGGGAGAGAGGAAGAAAGCAGGCACTGCTTCATTCAGAAAATAACACACCTTATAATGGAGCCTGTTTTGTTTTTGTTCTTGTTTTCAAAAAAAATCTGCTTCATTAAGGGTTAAGGTTCCACTCTGCATTTTCAATCTTTTTTTTTCCCCAACAAGATAACCTGTCTTATCTATTGGATACAATGTTCACTATTCCAGTGATGAGTACACTAAAAGCCCAGACTTTATGCCACTACCCAATATAAGCATATAATAAATCTGCTGTTGGCCAGGCGCGGTGGCTCACGTGTGTAATCCCAGCACTTTGGGAGGCCGAGGCGGGCGGATCACCTGAGGTCAGGAGTTCAAGACCAGCCTGGCCAACATGGTGAAACCCCGCCTCTACTAAAAATACAAAAAATCAGCCGGGCGTGGTGGCGGGCACCTGTAATCCCAGCTACTCAGGAGGCTGAGGCAGGAGAATTGCTGGAACCCAGGAGGCGGAAGTTGCAGTGAGCCAAGATCATGCCATCGCACTCCAGCCTGGGGGATAAGAGCAAGGCTTCATCACCAAAAAAAAAGAAAAAGAAATCTTCTCTTGTACCCCCAAAATAGATTTTTTTAAGATTTCAAATTTCAAAAGACAATCATTATCATTGAGAAGGAATAAACATTTGGTCCATATCTTAATAATGCATCATAACATGGTATTCAGGTAGAGTCAACTCAAAAAGGGTAACAAAAAATTGATTAACATGCAGTATTAAATCTTTAAAACAAGAGCAGCCCTCTCCCTCTCCCTCTCCCTCTCCCCCCTCTCCCTCTCCCCACGGTCTCCCTCTCCCTCTCTTTCCAAGGTCTCCCTCTGATGCCGAGCCGAAGCTGGACTGTACTGCTGCCATCTCGGCTCGCTGCAGCCTCCCTGCCTGATTCTCCTGCCTCAGCCTGCCGAGTGCCTGCGATTGCAGGCGCACGCCGCCACGCCTGGCTGTTTTTCGTATTTTTTTGGTGGAGATGGGGTTTCGCTGTGTTGGCCGGGCTGGTCTCCAGCTCCTAACCGCGAGTGATCCGCCAGCCTCGGCCTCCCGAGGTGCCGGGATTGCAGATGGAGTCTGGTTCACTCAGTGCTCAATGGTGCCCAGGCTGGAGTGCAATGGCGTGATCTCGGCTCGCTACAACCTCCACCTCCCAGCCGCCTGCCTTGGCCTCCAAAGTGCCGAGATTGCAGCCTCTGCCCGGCCGCCACCCCGTCTGGGAAGTGAGGAGCCTCTCTGCCTGGCCGCCCATCGTCTGGGACGTGAGGAGCCCCTCTGCCTGGCTGCCCAGTCTGGAAAGTGAGGAGCGTCTCTGCCCGGCCGCCATCCCATCTAGGAAGTGAGGAGCGCCTCTTCCCGGCCACCAACCCATCTAGGAAGTGAGGAGCGTCTCTGCCCCGCCGCCCATCGTCTGAGACGTGGGGAGCGCCTCTGCCCCGCCGCCCCGTCTGGGATGTGAGGAGCGCCTCTACCTGGCCGCGACCCCGTCTGGGAGGTGAGGAGCATCTCTGCCCGGCTGCCCCGTCTGAGAAGTGAGGAGACCCTCTGCCTGGCAACCGCCCCGTCTGAGAAGTGAGGAGCCCCTCCGCCCGGCAGCCGCCCCGTCTGAGAAGTGAGGAGCCCCTCCGCCCGGCAGCCACCCCGTCTGGGAAGTGAGGAGCGTCTCCGCCCGGCAGCCACCCCGTCCGGGAGGGAGGTGGGGGGGTCAGCCCCCCGCCCAGCCAGCCGCCCCGTCCGGGAGGGAGGTGGGGGGGTCAGCCCCCCGCCCGGCCAGCCGCCCCGTCCGGGAGGTGAGGGGCGCCTCTGCCCGGCCGCCCCTACTGGGAAGTGAGGAGCCCTTCTGCCCGGCCACCACCCCGTCTGGGAGGTGTACCCAACAGCTCATTGAGAACGGGCCATGATGACAATGGTGGTTTTGTGGAATAGAAAGGGGGGAAAGGCGGGGAAAAGATTGAGAAATCGGATGGTTGCTGTGTATGTGTAGAAAGAAGTAGACATGGGAGACTTTTCATTTTGTTCTGTACTAAGAAAAATTCTTCTGCCTTGTGATCCTGTTGATCTGTGATCTTACCCCTAACCCTGTGCTCTCTGAAACATGTGCTGTGTCCACTCAGGGTTAAATGGATTAAGGGTGGTGCAAGATGTGCTTTGTTAAACAGATGCTTGAAGGCAGCATGCTCGTTAAGAGTCATCACCACTCCCTAATCTCAAGTACCCAGGGACACAAACACTGCGGAAGGCCGCAGGGTCCTCTGCCTAGGAAAACCAGAGACCTTTGTTCACTTGTTTATCTGCTGACCTTCCCTCCACTATTGTCCTATGACCCTGCCAAATCCCCCTCTGCGAGAAACACCCAAGAATGATCAATTAAAAAAAAAAAAAAAAAAAAAAAAACAAGAGCAATAGTGCAGATAATTTAGAGGATACAATAATTTAAGAGACAACGTCAATAAAAAAATCATATAATACATAGTAGAGGTAGTGCCTACCTCCCTAACCTTACATTAAGTTGAATTAATACCCAGAACACTTAACATCTTTACCCACTTCATTCTCTTCATTCAGTTTCAGTTTCTGCATCAGGACCCCAGGGACTAGTGACTTAGGGATCATTTCTAACGAATCTTTTAGGGATGCCCAATATTTACAGTGGTCTCCCTTATCCGAAGTTTCACTTCTGTGATTTATTACCATCAATCAATCAAGTTCTGAAAACATTAAGTGGAAAGAAATAAATAATTCATAAGTTTTAAACTGCGTGCCATTTTGAGTAGTGTGATGAAATCTCATGCTGCTTAGGACATGAATTATCCTTTTGTCCAGCAGATCCACGCTGTCTATGCTGCCCGCCCACTAGTCACTTAGAAGCCTTCTCCATTATCAGATCGACTGTTGGATGTGGCAGTGCTTCTTTTCAAGTCACACTTATTTTACCTAATAGCGACCACAAAGCACAAGCGTAGTGATGCTGGCAATTCAGGTGTGACAAAGAGAAGCTGTAGAGTGCTTCCTTTAAGTGAAAAGGTGAAAGTTCTCAACTTAAAGAAGGAAAAAAAAATCATATGCTGAGATTGCTAAGATCTATAAATGTTCTATCCATGGAATTGTGAAGAAGGAAAATGAAATTTGTGCTAGTTGTGCTGTCGTACCTCAACCTGCAAAAACTTACAGCCATAGTGCATGATAAGTGCTTAGTTAAGATGAAAAAGACATTAAATTTGTAGGTAGAAGACATTAAATTTGTAGGTAAAAGGCAAACAGAAATGTGCTCTGTTTGCACAGGTAGATGGCAATTGGTTGGTACTATCTGAGGTTTCAGGCATCCCCTGGGGATCTTGAAATATATTCCCAAGAATCAGAGGGGACTACTGTATAAAATGTGATGTCTCACCTCAGGGGCAAGAGCAGAAAAGAAATTACTTTAATGATTTTTGTGGTTTTGGTTACCATTACTTCCTGGCAGTAAGCACAGTAACTGGCACATAGTAGGTGATTGATAAGCACGCATTAAATAAGTGAATAAATGAATCCCTATACTTGCTATAAGAAAATTTGTTTAGAAAACAAGATGACATCCATACAAGCTTCCAAAATAGGGATACTAATCCTTCATTTTACCTTCTCTCCCTAACCCTACTAATTATCAAAGATTAGCACATAAATATTGGTAATTATATGCATAACATTTTATTATTCCTGGCATATTACAACATATAGCATATTTGTTTTCAATAAGTAACATTCATGACACTGTAGACTAGAATCCCATCATATTAGGCTTTCTGAATACCCGGGTGTAAACTGACAGTTCTTTAAGCAATCAAGTCCACAATAAATTCACATTCATTTAAAAAAAAAAACAACCTTTTTTAAACAATAAAATGTTTTATGGTTTAAAAGATTTTGAACTGAGAATTAAAAGGCTAAGGTGTTAGTCTTCATTACTATTAACGCTCTCATATCTACATGCCAAATGGAAATTTAGACTATATAATCTCAAAAGTTCTAGTCTTTTCACTATTAACACTTTTGCCTCGAGCATAATCTTTAATTATACTAGAAGTAAAAGATGATTTTTGCAATCCTTAGGCCTAGGTTACTTTGATGTCTAGTTTTTGGTCTGCAATGTCACTTATTATTTTTCATATTTTTATTATAAAAGTAATAATTGACCTTTTTAAATTAAAAAAGATAAAAAGTATGTAGATCACAGCAACTATTAGCATATTGAATATTTTCTTCCACAAATAGTTTAAGCTGTAGCTTGTTTTTCATGAACTTTATGTGATTTATATCAAAGAATAATTTTCATCCTATTTTTCACTTACATTGTCATTTCCATTTTATTGCCTCTTGTTAACATAGTTGTAATGTGGGCATAGTTACTCTAACTGTACACCTCTTGCCAAAGATGTACATATTTTACAATAACAAACATATTTGGTCATGCAGTTTTTTACAAATTTGGCATTATTTCCCTATAACTGATTCATAGATGTTGATTATTGCCTGTATATTTTTTCATGCTTTTAATATATATTTCCAAATTATTTTCCAAAAGTATTATTCCAGTTTACACTTATATCAGCAAGCAAACTCCATTTATAATACTGTATGATGATTACTACAAAATGGAGAGACTACCAGATAATTCTCTGAACTTTGCCATTTCTAAAACCAAAACTTTTCTAATTTAAAAAGACCTTGTCAAAGAATATATTTATATTTTGCTATTCTTATTTATTTAGAAATAAGTGTTGGTTAATGGTGAAATAAAATTAAATCTATTAAGAAATCAATGAGTAGTAAAACCCAGGAATTGCTAGTTTAGAGAATTAGTGCTATTTTCTGTTGAATGAAGCCCAAAAGCCACCATCTGTCTAACAATTTAGAGTTTGTAGTAGTGTGCTTATACTCGAACTATGTAATGGATATGAGCTGTCACATTTCTGCTGCACAATCCTTTTCATTAAATACTTATCTCATTGTTTCCACAAACAGTAAATGGTATAAATAGAGTCCAAATAACATCTTGCCTTGGTTCAGAAAATAACTTAATGAAAGAGCTTTTTGCCCTGCTAACTCTGTAGAGGGAACTAATACCAGGACTGACATGTTATTGAAAAGGAAGGAAGGAAGGTAGGAAGGAAGCAAGGAAGGAAGGAAGGAAGGGAGGGAGGGAGGGATGGGAGGGGAGGGGAGGAGAAATGAAGGGACAAAGGAAGAAGAAAGGGAAGGATACAGGGGTGGGACAACAATATCCACTGGCAAATTTAATTCTATGAAAAAGGGATTAAATTGTTCACACAGTGATGACCATTAGGTACTAAAATCTTGTTTGAGTTTAAAATAGAAATAGTTCTGCATTTTTCTGAGTCTATAAAGTACCAGTCTATCATATATTCTAAATTCTTTTTTTTCTGCCTTTACATTTATAAGAAAGAAAGACGGGGGCGGGGGGAGACAGAGAAGAAATAAATAAATAAATAATCTGTTTATGTGACTTCAACTGCCTAAAAAACTGAAAAACTGGGATTTTTGCACAATGTCAATAAAATCTCTATGACTGGTTTGTTTATTTTCACCATATATGAGATGCTTATTAAACCACCAAGCACCTGGTAATAATCCTCGTCAAAATTCAGGAGTCAAGATTTAGTGCCGACAAGGCAAAAGAACTACCTCTGCCAGAGTAGAGTCAGGAAACAGCCAGTCAATAATTAGACCTCTAGAGAATGTCAAAAGTTTAATTTCCTTAAATGGAAATTAATAACTATCTGAAAGAGTCTCATATGAGTAATGCTAACGGCAAAGCTCTGCAATTAATGCAAACCAAACGTATGTAATCCTCTCCACAAACAAGTAATGGGATTCTCCCAACAATTGTGTAAGGACTGGAAGCCTTGGAAGTCTCTGGAGACTTGGGAACAATAGGCAGGGCTGTCCTCATCATTAACATCTCCCTACTTCGAATGTCATAAGAGACTCTGGCCTGTGCATCTTGCACAGAAGCAAACACCTTAAAACAGAACTTTATTTCCTTCTAGAACTATGCAAAATAGAAACATGAATAATTATTTTTACAATATTCAAGCTATAAATTATGCTTGCCTAAACAATGGATAAACTTAAACTGCATTTCTAGACCTGCATCTGTGAATGCAGAATATAGTGGAAATCCAGATTAATAATGAGAGGCAGGAGATTATAGTGCCTCTGGGAGTTAAGTTCTGGAATCAGATATATCTGGCTTTGAACCCCAGTGTCCCCACTTATGTAACCTTGAGCAAATTGCTCTACCTCTCTGGTCTGGGTTTCTTACTTGAAAAGTGGAGATTTATGGTATGTTTCATGGGATTAAATGAAACAATAACCGCAGTGTATTTAGAATAGTGCTTGGCATATCCTGGGTACTTTGTCAACAATTTCTGTAGTGATGCTGTTGCTGCTGTTATTATCATTACTAATATAATCTCCTAATCTCTCTTGACTTGGTCAAGTCACTTTACCTCTCTGTTTCCCCATTTCCTAACCTGTAAGATGAAAATAATAATATGCCCCTTACAGATTTGTAGGAGGGTCAGATGAGACAATATGAGGAAGCATATTAAAAGGTAAATCCTTCTGGATTATTTTATAAAAGTATCTCTAAGAGATATTTTAGTTGAAGTAATTGTATGATAATAATTTTGCTCAATAATTTAGAACTTTGCATATATATTTCACATGTTCATCCTTTTATTTAAAAAGATGCTCAAAGGCTTAAAACACACATGTTAAGGAAGAGTAGGATTACATCATGGTATTACTCTTCCTTAACATGTACCAACGACAGATAACAATAAAACATGTCATAATATGCTGCTCAGATACAAATTAGAGCTCAAAGAATGGTCTCTTTCATGGCTCTGCAGCTTCCCCAGAACAATAAAGACAACTCAAAAAGCAAAGATAACAGCTATATTCAGTGGTGTGGCATTTGCTCATGCAAGATTGTGAAAGCCAACTGTTAAATTTTCAATTTTGCAAGCCAGTTTTAATAGTTAAGTTATATAAACTTATAGTCAAACAAGTTATATTAAAAATAGTGAAATATACATTTTAAACATCACTCCCTATTTATTTTACTACATTTACTACATTTTACCGTTATCTATGCTTTGAAGCTATTATGTCTATCACATATGCAAAGTGAAAATACTACATAATGGAGTGCTACTGTGCATCTGTCCCCAAATCCAGGTTCTGTGTTTTCACATTGGTAGATTGACATCAACGTTAGTGGGAATATTTGCATAACATAAAGTTACAAGCACTATAAAGAAGGGTTTGGTTTAGTGCTAAAGCTGAAAGAGATTTGAGTTCAATGAAGATAATTTGTACAATGGTGAGAAATAGTCCAATGGTACATCACACGTCAGATTTAATGATATTTGGTAAAGGGTTAATAAATTGGCATACAGCTCCATGTGTCAAATCATGGTTGAACTGCAGCCACAGGTTTGCTACAGATACAGGAGTTCAGCAAAAAGCAATGAAAGCAATTTGTTATAATCAATTAGCTATTTATAATTTAAATAAAGAGTATTTTCTGTTTTCTTATTACTCGTAAAATATGTGCTCCCTCTACATAAATTGTGTGCATCCTTTATAAGTAAAGCTTATTAGAAGTTTATGAATGTATACTTATGTACACAATGCCTTTGGATAGCTGGAAGTAAAATGTTTACTAGCACACCACTGGTGATTTTTTTTTTAAACCCTTAGAAAGAGCTACCTTCGGGGAAAAAATAAACCATAATCTCGAACAATAAAAAAGCAAACCAATCATCATCCACTAGGTGGCAGTAACAAGAATGAAGAAAATAATCAGAAAAACAAATTAGAAGGAAAAGGAATTTACAAAGAAATTACTTCAACTGTTTTCTTTTCATTTGAATCATTAAATAACACTGGAAAAGGAAATTATGATCTTTTTAAAAACCTTTTTTATACCAGCTAGTTATCAAAATAACTCCTGCTCAGTATAATTTTTTTCTCCTATATCACAAATACCTTTTTATGTCAATAAACACAGATCTATAACATCATTTTTAACAACTAAGTATATTCATTTGTTTGAATGTTTTACAAAATATCAATTTCCTGATTATCAATGAACATCTCATTTGCTAGTAATTTTTCCCTATCATAAACAATACTTTGTTACACAACCAAATGTATCTCTGTACATTAGTTCAGTAATTTTCTTAGGATAAACTTCCAAGCATTAAATTACTGTCAAAGAGGCACACATTTTTTTTTTTTTTTTTTTTTTTTTGAGACGGAGGCTCGCTCTGTCGCCCAGGCTGGAGTGCAGTGGCGGGATCTCGGCTCACTGCAAGCTCCGCCTCCCGGGTTCACGCCATTCTCCTGCCTCAGCCTCCCAAGTAGCTGGGACTACAGGCGCCCGCCACTACGCCCGGCTAATTTTTTGTATTTTTAGTAGAGACGGGGTTTCACCGTTTTAGCCGGGATGGTCTCGATCTCCTGACCTCGTGATCCGCCCGCTTCGGCCTCCCAAAGTGCTGGGATTACAGGCGTGAGCCACCGCGCCCGGCCGAGGCACACATTTTAAAATTTGATTCAACTTGCCAAATTTTCCTACCGAAATACTGTGCTAATTTTTACCTCCAAGAATGATAATACGTTATTTCACTCATGCTAGGTATTTTTATTTTTTAACCTTTCTTTTTTTCTTTTTTTTTTTTTTCTTTTTGAGACAGAGTCTCGCTCTGTCACCCAGGCTGGAGTGCAGTGGCATGATCTCGGCTCACTGCAACCTCCACCTCCCAGGTTCAAGTGATTCTCCTGCCTCAGCCTCCTGAGTAGCTGGGGCTACAGGTGCATGCCACCATGCCAGGCTAATTTTTTGTATTTTTAGTAGAGACAGGGTTTCACTGTGTTAGCCAGGATGGTCTCGATCTCCTGACCTCATGATCCGCCCACCTCAGCCTCCCAAAGTGCTGGGATTACGGGCGTGAGCCACCGCACCCAGCCTTACTTTTTAACCTTTCTTAATACAATAGGAAAATACTGTATGTAATTGTTTCCATTTACGTTCTATCAGTTCCTTCATTTATTTACACATTTACTCAACAAACATTTGAGAGTCTACTATGGCCAAGCACTAAATAGGCACTGGGGGAAAAAAGGCATAGATTAGGTATCTGACCTCAAAAAGCTTATATTCAAATAGAGAGAGGCAGGTAAGAAGTGAAGCATGGAGTTACAGAGATGAGGGACATTAGACTGAAGACCCTTGTGAAAAGGAATCAGGTTTACAAAAATTGTGAAGAAAAGGGGAAAGCATTCCAAGCAGACCAAAAAAGTGAATTATTTGCAAGACTGAACATCTAATTATGTTTATTGATCAACTGCATTTCTTCTCTTTTGAGTTGCCTACTTCTAAATTCCTTCATTTTTCTCATATTTATATTTTTCTTAATGATATCTCATT
Organism: Homo sapiens; assembly: GCF_000001405.40. Taxonomy (NCBI): domain Eukaryota; kingdom Metazoa; phylum Chordata; class Mammalia; order Primates; family Hominidae; genus Homo; species Homo sapiens. Next base: position 112,949,902 of record NC_000004.12, on the reverse strand, counting down.
ATATATTGAGAATAGTAACCCTTTTTGCAAATTATTTCTCCACTATAAAATTTGTCTTTTGTGTTGTGTGCATGCCATGTGAAACTTTTTAATTGTTACGAATGCTAATTGGGCATTCTTTTTCCTGTTTGTTTCTTACCTTTGGCATCAAATTTAGAAAGGCTTATTCCAGACCAAGATGACAATATCTTGTTTTACTAGCAGTTTTGTCATTTTAATCTTTAATCCATCTCAGATTTATTTTTGTGTGTGGTACCCAAATAGAGATCAATTATTTTTGTTCTAAATGGTTAGCAAGATATTCCAATGTCATTTACAGAGATATTTCCCCAACATGTTTGATTACATTTGAAAAAGAATGTGGAATTAAACTCTTTTGTGTTGGCTCAGAATTTAAGCTGAGGCCCCAAACTGAGTTAACAAGTCAGTAGCATCCACATTAGTTCCAAAAATAATCAATAGATCCATCATCTCCACAGCAATTAAAAGATTACAAAACCCAGCTACTGAACATATTCTAAACACCTATCCCATATTAGAAAAGCTTATAGACTCCTTAAGAGGACAGTTTATTTACAGAAAATTTTAGGAAGAGAATGCTTTATTGGTGTTTTTCCTAAGTGAAGCCATGCAGGAAAAGAAGGGACCAAGTGAACCACTTTGGAGATGTTTGCAAGTTTTACTTACCTGGAGAGATACCAGCCCCTTCTTTCAAGATGAAATCAGCGAAACAATTCAAGCAGATATCTAGGCTTATGTCATCTTCACTTGACAGGCACAGCCCAAGAACACTGCTGCCTGCTGGTGCAAAAGGACCCCAACAGTAAATGGCTGGAGCTGTACCTCCTAGGGTAAAAGCTCAGGGGTGAGGGGGACTCTGAAAGTTAATAGGAGAAATCCCAGGGGAGATCTTCAAAGAACTCCAGTGGCATCAGAGAAGAGGCAGCATCTGAAGGCCTGAGATGAAGAGGACATTTGATAGCCAGGAAAGCACCAAAAGCAATAGGTGAAAATGCCTTTGCCTCTATCTCTCTACTCACTAGCCTCATTCCCTCAACCATAGAAAGTCTAAACATCTAAAAACAAGGAGAATATGGGGCAGAGGCAATCATAGGTCAGACCTGAGCTGAAAGGAGACAAAGCCATTAAACTGCATATAACAATAACGTTTTGATATATATGGCCTAGACTTTTTAATATCTGAAAATGAGACCATTTGATTACCAAAAACAGGGATTTAAAAGCTATAAGATGACTTGAGATGATAGCCAGGGCCAGGAAAAAGAGATGGCAGAGCTTGTTTGAATGAAATGTTGAGGGAAAATAAAAAGTTTTCTGTGTGCAACCCCTTCATTGAATCAGGGCAGTTACTCATTTATGATGTAATTGAATTTCCTTCCGGATTCTGTTCTGGCTCATTGATCTGTCTGTCTCTTCCTTCATCAGGGCCCACCCAGCTTTAATTACCAATTTCTGTTACTTTTCATTATCCAAACATAAAAAAAAAACATGTTCAACTTTAATCCAAACAGTTAAAATGTTATATCAACTCTCACAAATGAATGATATGTAGAAAGCAGACATGTTCAAGATATAACTTGGAATCATATATATACATATGGCTTCTCCAAAGTGCTGTTTTTTTTGTAAATAGGCAAGGCAGCTGCCAGCCCCTCAAGCAGCCTTACAGACTGCTAATGCCCAGGTATCCATGACAGATGGCACAGACCTGATCCTCTGCGAGAAATTACCCACAACCTACAAACACTTTTGTCCATCTCCCATCTTTCCCTACTCTGATTTCTAATTTGAACAGAAAAATGAAGAAAGTGATAATTGTGGGTTTGCATGTATACATTAGGAAGCGCATATTACAAAATGGCAGGGGTCAAGGAGGGAAGAGTGCTCAGAGCACTAAGTAGAACGAAATATTTTAAATCTTGTCATAGGTTAATGAATATCTTAAGGTTCTCCTATTTGCCAAAATCTGTTCTCCAGAAATACGGAAAAGATGACATCTGCACTGTATTCACTGACATCAAAACAGCCTGTGTTGGGCTTCAGTAGTAATAATAGTAATCATTGTTCACTGCATGCATGCTTAGGTCTAGATGTTTAACACACATTTCATCCAAAGAAGAACACTGCAGTTACAAATGACATACAACATGTAGTAAATATTTTTAAGTAAGTTTCAAAGTGATTATATAAATTGCTGAAGGTAACACAGCTATTAGTGAAACACCTGGCTGTGAACTCAAGCCTAAGGAACAGTCTTTGCCCTGCATGCTTTCTGCTGCTTCCCCCTAGCTCTCTGGGTAGTTACTAGAAACTGCACCCACTTATTTTCATTTTATATATTAATGTTCTAAACTCTATTATATATATCTATATTAAATATATACCTTCTAATGGTCTGAAAACAATACACTTGTAAGTTTCATTTGTGCAAATTTCAGTCATCTTCTCTCTGCAGCTTTGGTCCAGATGCCTGCATGCTTCGCTTTTCCAAACTTTAAGCTTATGGAAATATAGGTAAATAATTGTAGTCATTTTGTAGCATAACTCAGAACAAATTGTAAGCACCTTAGGTGATAGCAGGATCCCAAAGCAAAGATTTCCATTAAAATTTTGGTCATAAGTCATCTCTTAATGAGCGACATAAAAAGCCTAATCATAAAGTAACTACGCTTCATAAAATCAGCTATTCATTGAAGGGCATAACATTAAGAATAATGGGGGTTAAATAACTGTTTAGTTATGGTTCCTACCCCCAAAGAGAATAAAATATTATGTGAAGAAAATATGGACCCAACAAGCATGCAATACCCATTCACAAGAATGAATCATGCAAGAGAAAATCATACTGATTTGTTGTTTCTGCATCAGCTTCATACCAGAGTTAACTGGCAAAGGTTGTCTAGAAAATATGGGTTGAGTAGGGATCTTAAGAAAAGCTGTTATTCTTCAACTTAAAAGAATAATTGATCCACTGAGCACAATCACCTAAGGAAGTGCATTTTAAAAGAAAGCACATGTTTGAAGAACATTACTACTTTCTAGCTTTATAACTTTGGGGAAATTACATAATCTCTTCAGGTTTCAGTCAGCTTACCTCTAAAATAGAATTATCATACCTACCTCATAAGGTTGTATATGGATTCAAAACAACTGCCTAAGAACTTGGCATTGTACCTGTCACTGTTTAGTAGTTAATTTTAAGCAAAATTAGATTTTTACACTTATGAATTCCAAAATTAGCTGATCTGATATGCTCCCAGTTTCCTGTATAAACTTAATTTATTTGTAAGTTAGAAATAGTGCATGGACAGCTGCATCTGATTGATGAGAACACCACCACGTTTGCCTTCTAATTCTCCCCAGATTCCACCTTCCTTGTTTGGTGATTTGATTTAAACACTCCTTTAAAGATCCGTTAGCTGTCTGCGCCTTAATCAAATTATAGACAGTCTTCAATTTACAAGAATCCTCACAAGCCCTGGCCATCTGCACCTCTGCTCTGACTTGGGCTGCACTTAGGACAGGCGGCAGGCTAACAGCATCACAGCTTGCTCACTCCCCAGTGCTCCAGCTCCTGAAAGCCGACCCCATCCTCCACCCCACCACAGGCAGGCATGGGGATGCAGACTCTGTTGACATGGGCTCCTTTCCACGAAAGGCTCTGGTGTTTGTGTTCTGGGATATTCCTGTCTCCCGCTCAACAAGCCCCTCTCAAAGCCGAGGAAAGGCAACAAACCCCTCTCAAAGTTCAGGAAAGGCAACTGAGTTTCTGGAACCTGAGCCCAGAAAATCACTAATTTAAAAACAACTTCTTTGTTCTACTAAGATTATGAGCATGATTACTTGCAGAGTGACAAGATCATTGCCTCCTCTCCTGGGTCCAGCTGACTCAGCTACACTAACTCTCTCCCAGTCACTGTTTCCTGAACCACCCCGGGTTCAGGTATTTCTCTGTGCCAGTCTTGTTGCAAGGTAGCAGAGTATATGGATGAGAGCATGCACTTTGATGTCAGAGGAACATGGGTTCTAGGCAAGGCTCTGTCACTTCTGAGCTGTGTAACTTGGGAAAGGTGACATAATGTCTTAAAGCTTCGGCTCCTCATGTGTAAAATGGGCATTATAAGACAACCATCACTCATGATAAAGACTATATGGTTATATTTTTCAAACTGGAGTCTGTTGAACTGAATTCTTGGCAGGGGTGGTGTCCTGTGTCTGTCAATGTACTCGTGTTGAATTATTTTACCCAGTGACAAAGGAAATAAGCCTTTTTTGCAGGGATTATGTGGAATTAATAGACTCTTTTCGGTTTTGTCAAGGTTCCTCCAACTGATGTGTACAGATGCATTCCCAAGTCCGCTTCTTAGAATGACTGCTTGTGGTTACCAATCAGAAAAGGTAGCTCTGACCCTGCGATTTATTAAATAATTTTTGTAATGAGGCACTATGTCTATTTTTCCTCACCTAATTATTACTTTTAAAATCTTGATACTAAATGGTAGTCAGAAATATTATTTACTCTTTTTGGTTTTGAGAGGTGCAATTCACCAGTATTTCTGGTTCTCCTCCTTCTGGGCACAAGATGGGACAGCCCTTTCCTACACTTGCTTTGGCCAATGAAATGTGAGCCAAAGTAACATGCATCACTTCTAGGGAGAACTCTTTCACACTCAGAACATATTTTGTCATGTTTATTCCTACTGCCAGGCCAGGCAGCATTATTCCAGATGGTGGAAGCTCTGCCTCAAATGAGGACAATGTGGAGCAGAGCCCCTGCCAACCCAAGATACATGTGGTATGAGGAAAAGATACACCTTTGTGATTGTAAGCAACTAAGGTTAGGGGCTATTTGTTACTACAGCACAACGTAGCCCATTCTAACTGATACACAGTTGCTTAAATATTTTGTAATAACTCATATAAATTCTTGCCTATCACACTCTTGGTCTAAGAAAGTCAACTGTCAATATGACACTGCCTTTTTCAGAAAGGTACTTTTTCCTAAAAGATAATCAACTCTCAGAGGGAGAGCTACCTGAATTAGATAATTTTCCTTAAAGGTAAGGTCAGTCCACTGATTAGCTCCCTCTCACATTCCCTCTTACATTCTCTACAAGTCATGTATTTATTCTGTTATCTGCCTCAGCTCTCTTCATTGCAAACAAGCTAATCTTTTCATTTTTTTTCTATGCTAAACTTTAACCCTGGAATCACATACCAATTATCATGTGCATACAACTAGCCTGCTCATCAAACCCTAGATATCCACCCATTTAGAGGTCCCAATGGGGAAGGGGGGTGGGACAGAGGAGAATATGGACATAAAAGACAAAATTAGGGTTAATAAGCTCCTAAACTCTTGGAGTTACGGATATCTTTTATGTACTGTAGCAATGATTACATGTATTCATTATTAATAGTAACTTCCTATTATCCTGATCACAAAGAAGTAAGCTGTTTACATTTTTAAAAATTCCTAATTAATGGATAGTTTAATTTACCCAAGTTAAAGAAAATATTGTGTTAGGCAGTTCTGTCAACTGCAAAATTCACTTCCTCTGCTTATTAACTGGAAATGAAAATACATGTACCATAGTCTGTGGATAAGATCATAGTGAACAAATAGACAAGAGAATGGTACAAAGCAGCTAATACAATATATCATTTATGACTTAGGAAAAAGCCATAATAAATGGATGCATGCCAGGCCCTCCTGGAACAATAAGTGAAAGGCTTGTCCAGTAAGGGGAAAGGATTTAATGCCTGATTGCTATGTGGATAACCTTTATACATGTGTTTTTTAGTCCTTGCTGGATATAAATATTAGTTCAATGGACTGAAAAATTCTGCAAAATAGACCTCAGGCTTCTGTAATTAAGGACCACCAAAAACCATCTCCATTTTGTTTAGTCTGAGGTCATCTAAATTACATCTGTCATACAAATTAAGTTTGCATCCATAAAGCTTGTTACTGAATACCAACTCTGCTTTCTTAATTAAAAATTATTAACAAGAGTGCCAGAAGATAAACTAAATTATATTCTCTCAAAGTAATCTCTTCCCACTACCCTTACCCTCTCCCCCAAATGTTTACAGCAAAACAAGGTAAAGGGGAAAGAAGAAAAACAATGTAGGCTCGATTTTACTATTATTTTTGTGAAACACTGTTAATCTTGACATTGTCATCTTGTATACACACTCACACACACATCTGTAGTAAAATATATAATAAAATTAGAAGCGTTAGAGCTAAACAGATCCTTAGATTTCTAATGCGACTGTTTTAAAGGTAAGGAGACAGAACCATACAGAAATTGAGTTTAGGACTGAAATCCAGACCTTATGACTTACAGTCAAGGCTTCCTCCGCTATCACACAACAGCCACAGAGAAAATTAACAGCAAAGAGATCAGTAACAGGAATCTGATTCTCCAACCACTCTAATTTTTTTCAGCAATTGTTCAATCTTCAGAGTAAATTGTTTATTGACACTGCCCATATTTGCAAGCAGTAGAAAGAAGGGATGGAGAGAGGCAGGGAGGGAGGGTAGAAAGGAGGAAAGAAAGAAGCAAAAGAACTTACAGTTTATTACAAGAGAGTTCTCACAGAGAATACACTTGCCTTTCAAGTTTTACATTTGAGACATTAGCATCTATGATGTAGGATAAGAAGAATTAGCTAACTGTTGAAGCCCCATCTCATTGCTTAAATCTGTTTTCAGAGTGAGAGGTTCATTACCATATTTAGACTCTGCCACGCCCCTGTTCACAAAAGTCTGGAGAAAGAAAAAGAAAGATTAAGGGCTGCAAAAATGGAGTGAGAGTGGAAGCAAGACCTTGTTCACCACAGCTTTCATATTCAGAGAAGAAGCAAGCGATTGATGGTTACCAAGTTTAATCATTTATATGTTGGGCAAGTAAAACTAAGTTCCATTTAGCACTTCTTCATGTTGATAATACTTTAGATTGCAGTTAGTTTAAAAGCTCCCCTCCCTCTAAAAAAGATATTGTTAGGACTAATTTATAGAGGAATTTTTTTTCTTAATATATTTTATGAAGAAAAAGGAATACAAAAAGATAAGGAAATAAATATAAGACTAAAGTCGATACAAATAAAACTTACTTATTTGCGAAATTATAAGAAAAGCATTTGATATGTGTACACACACAAACCCAACCATAAGGCATGCTAGATGTGCCACATATTCAGTTTCATTTCTCTTAGCTTTCATCTTTTTAATCCCAATAAATATTTCACATATGTCCTATATTATTGATGTAATTCCTTATATAGTATTGCTTTGGTCATTTATCCTCATTTTTCTCATAAGCGGCAGTACACTTTAGTAAGACTACCTGGGTTCAAATCCTGACCCACCCCTTGCTTGTTGTGAGTTTGCCCAGTTTTCTCATCTACAAAATGGGCATAATATCATTTAAAGATATAAAACATAAAACTAAATCACAAATACAAAGTGACTATTAATTGCTTTGAACATAAACTTAACTTTCATTCTCTCGACAAATATTGAGCACTGACTTGGAACAGGAAAAGCATTAGGCACAAGGAAACAAAAATCAGGAAGACAACACAGCGCCACTGAGTGGAGCTTTCAGCTTACTGGAAAAGACAACCCTCAAACAGATAATTAATTAATTGCAGTATCAGTTTGTGCTGCAAAGGAGAATGATAGGATCCTATCTATCCTTCTAAAATTTGGATAACAGAGCTTGGGAACTAAAGAATCCTAGAAGTAGATAATATATTTTTTAAATAACTCAGTTACAAAAGTAATGTTGATTATAGAAAATTAGGAAAATAAGGAAACAAAAGAAAACAAGTTTTATCAAACACACATAAAAATAAAACAACAATAATAGCTATCATTTGTGCCAGCTATTGTTCTAAGCATTTTATAAATATTATAAGTATTATTTTATTTAATCTTTATAACAACCTTATGAAGTAGGTCCTATTATGTTAACTTTTAAATGAAGAAACTGAGGCAAACAGCAAACTTCTGACAAAATTTTGATGTACAGCTTCCCAGTTTTTCCCCATGCATACATTAAAAAATATACACACGTAAATGTATATGTAATATGGTTTAAAAGATATATATGTACTATATATCAATATGTGTATAGATCATATAATTTTTATAAATATATCTTTATATATCCTTTTATATATCTTTATATATCCTTTTATATATATTTATATATATCTATATATTTATATATTTATATATTTACATTTACATATTTATATCCTTTTATATATCTTTATATATCCTTTTTATATAAAGATATATTTATAGAGATATATGTATATACTAAATATGTTTTTAATTATATATAGCTTCTATATATTTAGTATATATTTACATACCTTTATTTATATATCTATATATAAAGATATATTTATAAAAGATATATGTATATATACAAAAAATATATCTTTTTAACTAATTAGGTTCATATAGTTCATACTCTTTTTAATATGTATATTATATATAATATATTTAATATATAACTTTTTATATGTAGTATATTTATATATCTTTTATAAATACATAAATTTATATATCTTTATATATATACCTATATATCTTTTCTGTATCTTTTATGAAAAGATATATAAATCTTTTTAACCGAATTAGGTTCATATAGTTAAATGTTCTTTTTTAATATCCTTTTTTAGGCAACAAAATAACATGAACATTTTCTCATATTAACTATTCTTCTACCCATATGATTTTAATAGAGTACAGTATAAAGGAAGAATATGAACATCTTAAAGGTGCATTTAGTAACTTTTATGCTAAAGTAGCCAAACTCTTCTCACAATTTTTCAGTGTGTTTTCTCAACTTTAAAAATGCCAGAATCTTATCAACAACCTCATGAGGAACTTGAAAGTATTTGTCCCTTTCTCCCATAGATGTTAAGTTTTTAATAGAAATGTGAGCATTAGCGGCTGTGATTCAGAACATAAATAAATCATACTCTTTGACACGAGAATCCCTGTTCGGCTGTGCTTTCATCAAGAGAAAATAGATGCCTCAGGAACAAATCAATGAGCTTTAAGCTGCCTCAACTAAAAATTATATTTTTTCATGCAAAAAAGAGTTTACAGATTTGCAATAGATTCCTTCACTTTGGGTCTTTTTGTTTAAAAATGTAAATACTGAGCTAGCATTGTAGTTATGGTTCAGAGGTTTGTATGCTAAATAAAATCCTACAGCAGTTATTCAACAGCATGATACTGATGGCTACTCTAATTTTCTACACAATGCCTCTGGCATTTGAGAGAGTCTGAAAAATGCTAATAACATCACTTCTCATTATAACCAAGTACAGCAGTGAAAGTGATCTCATGTCTGTAATTTTTTAAAAATAATTAGATCTTCTCTGTGTGTGTTCAGATAGAGCCAAATTTTTTAATGTCACTAGCTCCTTTTATTGTGTGTCCCTAGGTAGAATTTGTCCCACAAATGTTCTAAGTTAATTAGGTGATTTCTACAGTTCCTAGCACAGTTTTAGGCTTATAAGAGTATTTAAGAACGGCTTCTCAAATTAATACGTATCTGACTTTCCTTTACCATTTTCTTAATAGCAAAATTAAGAAATTAAGCCAAAATTGGCCTACTAGGCAAATAAATATTTGATATGAAAGTAAAATGCCTGTAATTGTGTTTTTCTTGTTTGCTGTAGTGATTGCAGCAAATTACTAAGGCAATGGAAACGCGAGATGACATGGTGGAAGTTTATGACCTAGTAAAACTGTCAACCAACATACTGGGAATCTGTGTGAATAATTTATATACAAATACAAATTTATTATAAAACTAACTTAAACAACTGACAAAGCTAAAATAAGAACTGTCATTTAAATATAATCAAAGGGATACCAAATGGTATTTTTCATTCAAAAAAGACTGACATTTTTGTTAATAACTGAAAGCATATTATGATCGTTGAAACAACTCTAAGTTTTACATCAAATTTTGTTCTTTAGAATAATAGGTATAATTTGTATAGTTGCTACTTATAGTAATAGCTCATAAACAGGCAAACACCTAAGAAGTCTCAGGAAGAACACATGGAAAGATAACCTTGGTGGCTTCCAGGAAGGGCATTGGGTAGCTGGAAGACAGATATAAGGAGGGAGATTTTTCACAGTATGCCTTTTTGCAATTCTTGAATTATGAGTCATTTTAATGAATGTCCAACTTTAAAATAAAATTGTATTTTTAAAGAATGAACTGGCCGGGCATGGTGGCTTAAGCCTGTAATCCCAGCACTTTGGGAGGCTGAGGCAGGAGGATCACCTGAGGTCAGGAGGTTGAGACCAGCCTGGCCAACATGGCGAAACCCTGTCTCTACTAAAAATACAAAAAAAAAATTAGCCAGGCATGGTGGCACACGCCTGTAATCCCAGCTACTTGGGAGGCTGAGACAGGAGAATCGCTTGAACAAGGGAGGCGGAGGCTGCAGCGAGCCGAGATCACACCACTGCACTCCAGCCTGGGCAACAAGAGTGAAACTCCGTCTCAAAATAAATAAATAAAAATAAAGAAAGAAAGAATGAACTATTCCCTGATACTTTTTAAAATTTGTAGTTTCTTCTAAATTTGACTTCACTAATATGTCTATTAGCTTTCTCATTTCTAAGAGGCAAGCAAACTTAACAAAATAGCCATGAAAATATTTCCATAAACCATTACAATTTTAAAATAAAATATTTGTTTTAAGTTTCACACAATATTAGCATACTAACTTTACAATAGTAGCTAGGGTACAAAACTATAACGCACAAAAAAGAAAACCAACTCTGACAAACTTGTTTTCATATATGAATTATAAAAAAATTTCCAGTGAAAGGAAAAATGTAAATAATCTTTTTATTTTAAATATAAGAAATCAACTTTCACATTAATTCACTGAGTTCCTGCTATGTGGCAGGTACTGTTCTAGATTCTGGAGACACAGTAGTCAACAGAACAGAAAAATTTTTACCTTCATGGAGTTTACATCCTAGGGTAACATTTCAGTGATGAGCTGTTAAAAGGGTACTAGAGACTCTAAAGTGGTAAACAGACCCATGTCTTAAATCTCCCCTTTCTTCATTCTCTATTTATTTCAGCATTCTTCATTTATATCTTCAAGCCTCCTCTAAATCTTTTCTTATCTCTGCTATCTAGAAGTAATCCACTAGGTGGCAATGTCTGATTGAGCCGAATAAAAATTTACTTAGCTTGCCTCCACTGGAATGCATTCTTTTTGTTTGCTTTAATTTTGCCATTACTTGATTTTTGGGATGACCAAAATACAGCTTAAAATATATCATTTTGGGGAAAACAAAAAATATACAGAAAGATTAGATAAAAGTAGATTGCTGGAACATACCACCTTCTCTCATAAGACAGTTCAGGCATGATCTTAATCATACCCCAACACATATAGCGGTAGATAGATTCCTCACCATGAATGAACAGAACTCCTGAAAAGAAATAGTACAGAATGATGGAAAAAAGAAGTCTGGAGAAGGAATCTAGAGATGTGTGTTCAAGTCCTAGCTTTAGTTCACCTTTAATCCACTTAAGATGAGTCACCAGGGGTAACTCACCAAATCACCATGAACCTCAGTTTCTCGTTAGAAAAACATAGAGTAATACATCTTTACTCACCTGAGAGGGTCTTATAAAGATGAAATGATTTAAACTCTGTGAAAGTGCTATTGTGGACACATGTAGTCACATGATTCTAACATGACATTTTGGTTAAGAGAAAATGCATGGTTTGGGGGATTATGAATATAGTAAATAGTATTTTTCAACTTATTTTTTTAACTTTGTGCCCACTATGTATAATAAACTGTTCCAAGTGTTTTAAAATATTCATTCATACTCATAACAACACTATGAGTTAGATTCTATTATTATTTTCATTCACAGCTGGGGAAACTGTTATAAAAAGATGGAATAACTTGCCCAAGGCCACTAAGACAGCTAATAAGTTGCAGAGGCCATCTTTTCTAAGGACCACCTCAATTCTATAAGCCATATCCATTACATGAGCTATTTGAGGGTCTCTTGTACCACTGAAAACATCATAGCCAATAGACCTTCAGGGTAGGCTAGGCCTAAAGAATAGGAATTTCTTCAGAGCATAACAATAATGAATGTAACTGCTTCAGGCAAGGAAACCAAACTAATCAGACCGAAAAATGTCCAAGTCAAAAAAGGTAATAAGGCCGGGCGCGGTGGCTCACGCCTGTAATATCAGCACTTTGGGAGGCCGAGGCGGGTGGATCACCTGAGGTCAGGAGTTGGAGACCAGCCTGGCCAACATGGCGAAACCCAGTCTCTACTAAAAACACAAAAATTATCTGGAGGTGGTGGCAGGTGCCTGTAATCCCAGCTACTCAGGAGGCTGAAGCATGAGAATCACTTGAACCCAGGAGGCAGAGGGTTGCAGTGAGCCAAGATCGCACCACTGTACTCCAGCCTGGTGGAGAAAGCAAGACTGTGTCTCAAAAAAAAAAAAAAAAGACAATAATTGTGGTTTTACAAAGAAATTCTATACTCACATATCTTGAGTACTTTTATAGCCGCTTCCATATAGAGCCTGCCATCCAAAAGGTAAGTCATGGAAGGTGAGATTTTTGTCACCCATCACTAATTTACCCATCCTTCGATCCCCTGCTAGGATACTTGTAAGCTTTCAGAACCAAATTCAGATCTATTTGTTGGACAAAAATTTTAAAAGTGCTTAAAAACTATAAGTAGGCCAGGCGTGATGGCTCATGTCTATGATTCCAGCACTTTGGGAGGCAGAGGCGGGAGGATTGCTTGAGTTCAGTCCAAGACCAGCCTGAGCAACACAGTAAGACCTTGTCTCTGCTAAAAATAAAAACTAAAAAAATTAGCCAGGCACGATGGTGCATGCCTGTAGTCCCAACTTCTTGGGAGGCCGAAGTGGAGAATCACTTGAGCCCCGGAGATTGAGGCTGCAATGAGCTATGATCACGCCACTGCACTACAGCCTGGGCAACAGAGTGAGACCTTGTCTCAAAAAACAAACAAACAAAAAAAAAATTATAAATAAACTTTATTGGTATAGTAGTTTGGAACATGATCTGTGTAGATTATTGACCTCCATCTTGGTGAAATAGGAATAGTAATAGTACCTCATAAGTTTGCAAGACTAAAACGAGTTTAAAAATGGATAATGCTGGCCGGGCGTGGTGGCTCACGCCTGTAATCCCAGCACTTTGGGAAGCCGAGGCAGGCAGATTACGAGGTCTGGAGTTCGAGACCAGCCTGATCCACATGGTAAAACCCTATCTCTACTAAAAATACAAAAATTAGCCAGGTGTGGTGGCACGCGCCTGTAATCCCAGCTACTCAGGAGGCTGAGGCAGGAGGATCGCTTGAACGCCGGAGGCGGAGGCTGCAGTGAGCTGAGATCACGCCACTACACTCCAGCCTGGGTGACAGAGTGGGACTCCATCTCAAAAAAAAAAAAAAGGATAATGATTAGAAAAGTATCTAGCACATAGAAAGTGCTCAATACATATTAATTATTAGTGTTATCATTGTTTCTACTTCTCACATCCCAGAGCTCTTTACACTTAACTTCCCAAGTCATCAGCCATTTGGTTCTGTACAATGCTGAAGCTCTTCCATTTACAAACTTTCAATTAACATAATTTCAGAGACAGACAAAGCAATGCTTCAGGAAAAAAGAACGCAGAAGCTGCCTACACTATAGGTGGTGACAGTGGCCACTGACAGACTGTCATTTTGAGCTAGTGACAGATTAACTTAGCAACAGTCTTTCTGAGACTAACCTGTCCCAGGAAAGATTAGCTTTCTTTATTTTCCATCACTGATGTTGCTTTGTAAATTTTTAATTTCTGTATGTCTTTCCTTGTCTCTTGCTGTGAATGATGGTTAAGTTCTTTGAGGGGTCTTATTGTATATTTCTATATTCTTGGTTGAGTTTGTTTGTTTGTTTGTTTGTTTGTTTGTTTTGAGACAAGGTCTCAGTCTTTTGCCCAGGCTGGAATGCAGTGGCATGATCTCGGCTCACTGCAACCTCTGCCTCCCATGGTTCAAGCAATTCTTTTGCTTCAGCCTCCCCAGTAGCTGTGAATACAGGTGTGCGCCACCACACCCAACTAATTTTTGTATTTTTTATAAAGACGGGGTTTTGCCATGTTGCCCAGGCTGGTCTCAAACTGCCAAGCTAAAGCAATCCACCTGCCTCGGCCTCCCAAAGTGTTAGGCCTATTTTTATATTCTTCACAGTATTAACTGTGCAAGACTCTCAAAGGGGATTTGTCATTGTCATTGTTATGCTTATTGTGTGCTTCAATAATAACAGAACTGAGAAGAAAAGACACCAGACAGATGATCTCAAAGGCAAGTACCTGGCTCAGACATCTTTCTCCTAGAATTAGGCACTATGCCTGCCCCATCAGAAGGACTCAAAGAATAGTGATTCAAATAAACCAAAGATTATATATTTGCCTTCACAGTTTTACACTTAGATTTCTGTTTAACTTCCACTTTTCAAAGCAGTAAATCTGAATGAAAGAAAATATATTTAAAATACAGTTTGGATCATGTCACATCTCAGTTAGAAGCCCTCCTGTGGCACCCTATCTCACTAGAAGTAAAGCCAAGAACTTATAAGGCACTATGTGTTCTAGCACCCAACTGCACCCTACACACACACACACACACACACACACTTTCTCTGACTTCGGTTCCTACACTTCCTCCTTGCTTACCTACTCCAGCCACAGTGAATGCTTTGGTGCTCCTGGAACAACCAAAATACGTTCTCACCTGAGGACTTTGTCCCCCATTGTTCCCTAAATATGGAAGATTCTTTCCTCCAATATCTAAAGTTTGTTCTCTTACTCCCTTCAGATCTCTACTCAAATGCCATCTAATCAGAATGACCTTCCTGTCTATCCTATATAAAGAACATCCCCTCCTCTGCCCTTCCTATTCCCAGCACTCTCATGTATTTTTCTTTGTAGCACTTATCATAAGTGTAATATATACATCACATATACATAGCATATATTTCATTTTTCTGTCACCTTCCACTAGAATATAAACAACATGAAAGCAAGGATATTTTATTTTGTTCAGTGCTGAATCTCCAGTGCCCAAAAATATTGCCTGACACATAAAGAATGCTCAATAGTTATTATAAATTAATTCTATCCTGTAACCATGTGTTTAACAAAATGTGAAGAAACAAATACAATAAATACTGAGGAGAGGAAGCGGGGCTGAAAGAGGAAATGTGGTCGTGGAATCTAATAAATACCACTGAATTGACTAAAATGTTGAAAATATAGAAAAGTTGATTAAAAATTCAAATAGAAAGGAATTAGGAGACCGGAGGGAGAAGAAAAGAATGTCGAGAGAGTAATGTTCTGGATAAAATGAAAAGTAGAAAGATATGGAGCAACAGGGACTCATGAAGCCACAGACAGCTGGAATGTTTCTCAAGGCTCAGCTGGATCCAACCTCGAGGTCAAAGACAGAAACACCTTAGCACGGCTCTGCAGTTGGTCACTAGCTTCCTCGGAAAACTTCAATTACGGAAATCACCTTATTTTACAAGACACTTAAATTCTATCTTGCAAAAGTTTTTATTAAGAAGCTCTTCCAAATTCTGATTCCAAACCTTCTAATTTATTCTCTCATAAATTGGTCACAATTCTGTCTCCCGAAACTACACTAGGTGAATTTTCATAACTTGAAATATTTCAAAACAACGAACAGGCTCCAACTCCCCCAACCCTTTCACAAATCTTCCTTTCTCTAGGCTCAATCTCCCGAGCATCTTTAACCATTCTCACATGACGTCATTTCCAGATGGTCACCCTCTTAGTCAATCTCCTTTAGATCTATCACAAATTTGCAATTTGCTTCTCAAAAAAAAAAAAATTCCACAAGGTTAGGTGATTATGTTTACATTAATTATTTGTACCTTATTTTAGAAAATCACTTTCTACTTTTTTCAGAGTTCTTTCATATGAATTAGACCATCTCTGCCGGGCACAGTGACTCATGCCTGTAATCTCAGCACGTTGGGAGGCCAAGGTGGGCAGATCACCTGAGGTCAGGAGTTCGAGACCAGCCTGACCAACATGGCAAAACCCCGTCTCTATTAAAAATACAAAATTACCCGGGCTTGGTGGAGCATGCCTGTAATCCCAGCTACTCGGGAGGCTGAGGCCAGAGAATCGCTTGAACCCAGGAGGCAGAGGTTGCGGTGAGCCAAGATTGTGCCATTGCACTCCAGCCTGGGCAACAAGAGCAACACTCCGCCTCAAAAAAAAAAAAAAGAATTAGACTGTCTGATCCTCACAGTTAGGTGGCTCTTTTTTTCTTCAATTTTAAAACTGGAAAAATTGAAAATCAGAAGGGTTAGGTGATATATCCAAAGCTACAGAGTGTGCATCAGAAACCAGAATATCTACCTCTGGTTTTGTTTTTGTTTAATTTTTTATTTTGAAAAATTTCAGACATATATAAAAGCAGAGGGAGACTTGTAAAGTGAACACCTATATTTCCATTCCTTAGATTTAACAATTAATAACATTGTCTTCACTTAATTTTTTAATACTTCGCTAAAGTATTTTAAAGCAAATTCCAGGCATCCTGGCATTTCACCACAAATCCTTTAGTGTGCATCTCTAAAATATATGTAAGTACATTTGTTTATATAACCATGAACTGGTATGACAGCTAACAAAAGTAACAACAATTTCTTAATATCAACTAATTCCCACTTAATATCCAAATTTCCCTGCTTATATCCAAAACATTTTTTACAGTTAATTTATTCATGAATCATGCCCCTTAACTTCTGATCCATTCTTATTTCTGCTATACCATGGAAATTATAACCAAATAGAAAAAGGTACAATAACAGAGGCAAAGAAGAAAGGGAGTTGATTTTGGTGGATCATTGAACTTTTACATTATTCTGAATATAGAAAGAAATAGAATTTCAAAAGTAACATGAAGTTGATTCCTTTGATTAATTTCACTCATTTACATGAGTGAAATTTTAATGTTTTCTAGTATTAAACTATTTTGAAAACTAATTGAAAGAGATCTTTGAAGAGTGAAATTATAGGTAGTAATCTGGGAAGTATTTTTAAGATAAAGACTCTCTTTCTCATTGGCCTTACATTTTACTAAATCTGATTACAAACAACTTAAACTTTGGACTAACACTAAAACTTATACTCTTTACAGGAAAAAAAAAAGTCACAGCTGCAGAATGAAACTACTTTGTTAGGATCATATAACATTTCAGCCAAATGTATCTTTTTTTTTTTTTTTTTTTTTGAGACGGAGTCTCACTCTGTCACCCAGGCTGTAGTGTAGTGGCGCTATCTCAACTCACTGCAAGCTCCACCTCCCGGGTTCATGCCATTCCCCTGCCTCAGCCTCCTGAGTAGCTGGGATTACAGGCACGCGCCACCACACCTGGCTAATTTTTGTGTTTTTAGTAGAGATGGGGTTTCACCATGTGGGTCAGGCTGGTCTCGAACTCCTGACCTCAGGTGATCCGCCCACCTCAGCCTCCCAAAGTGCTGGGATTACAGGCATAAGCCAACATGCCTGGCTAATTTTTTTGGATTTTTAGTAGAAACGGGGTTTCACCATGTTAGCCAGGATGGTCTTGATCTCCTGACCTTGTGATCCACCCGTCTCAGCCTCCCAAAGCAAATATGTCATTTTTATCACTATCTTCGGGCTAAAGGCTGTCTCTTGCACTTAGTACACCACAAGTTAACACTTGTTGATAAATAGCTAGTTCTTAAAAGTAGGAGCACTATAATATTCTATGTTGTCTTTTTAAGTATGAATATATGGATTAAATTGAATCTTCAGTACCTATGTTCTATTAAACAGCAATTCTCAATTTTTTACAGTCATGATAAGGTTTTATTGTTTGATTTCATGTCACTTCCAATTATAAGCAAATATTAACTCTACCTGTTTAAAATGTGCAATTCCTATTAAGATAGTTAGAGACATCTGGATTGGGGTTATAAATCAGCATAGGATACTGTTTGAAAGAGTTATCACATGATTCTCCAAACATCAAGACCAACCTACAGTTACTTCAAGTGGGCAGGAGCCTTTATGGAACTTATCAGGGTCGAAATCTTTGAAACGCCAGCCTGGCCAACAAGGTGAAACCCTGTCTCAACTAAAAATACAAAAACATTAGCCAGGCATGGTGGCACATGGCTGGAATTCCAGCTACTCGGGAGGCTGAGGCACAAGAATTGCTTGAACCCAGGAGGCAGAGGTTGCAGTGAGCTGAGATCACACCACTGCACTCCAGCCTCGGCGAAAGTGAGACTCTGTCCCAAAAAAAAAAAAAAAAAAAAAAAGAAAAGAAAGAAATCTTTGAAAGGTACGTAAAATAAATAGTATTCAATCAAGCTTTTCTTTAGCTTACAGCAATCCTACAGCTTCTTGAAAACCACAGATTTATGCTTTGAGTCTACGATAAAATGGGATTGAGAAGAAGACCTCAGTTTTTCAGGGTGCCTCTTATTTCCAACCACTAAGACTCCGGTCTCCACGGCCCTGCTCTGCTTAACCACTTCCCCAAAAATTCCCTCTGATCATCTGCACCCAGCCTTTCTCCCTAGCCATGTGCAGAGTCGACCCTGGGTTTAAAACCTCTTATCATAACTGTGAGGAAAGGACTGAAGGAACTGTTAGAAATCATCAGACTTCCTGCCTATCTACAACTCATACCTTGAGGCCTCCATGACCTTGTGTTCTGACCAAAATTCTGGTAGTTCTTCTCAATGCCTGTCTAACTTGTTTTCTCCTCTGAGACATTTTCTATATGTAAATGTCTTGAGGCTCTGCTTGTTATTTGTCTGTTGTCCTTTCATCATTTTAAGTCTTTTTTTTTTTTTTCTCTCGAGATGGAGTCTTGCTCTGTCGCCCAGGCTGGAGTGCAATGGCATGGTCTCGGCTCACTGCAACCTCCGCCTCCTGGGTTCAAGGGATTCTCCTGCCTCAGCCTCCTGAGTAACTGGGATTACAGGCGTGCACCACCACACCTGGCTAACTTTTTGCATTTTTAGTAGAGACGGGGTTTCACCATGTTGGCCAGGCTGGTCTTGAACTCCTGACCTCATGATCTGCCCTCCTCGGCCTCCCAAAGTCCTGGGATTACAGGCATGGGCCACTGCACCCGGCGTCATCACTTTAAGTCTTACTCCT
Organism: Homo sapiens; assembly: GCF_000001405.40. NCBI lineage: Eukaryota > Metazoa > Chordata > Mammalia > Primates > Hominidae > Homo > Homo sapiens. The sequence goes on along the minus strand of NC_000004.12, from coordinate 112,930,583 downwards.
ACATTTTTTTTTTAACCGTTTACAAAGTCAAATCCAGCCTTCCCTGTGTGCCCCTCATACTATAACTCCCCTGCCTGGGTAGAGGTAGCACTCCTCAACAACACTTGAACATTTTCTTTTCTTTTTTTTTTTTTTGAGACAGGGTCTGGCTCTGTCGCCCAGGCTGGAGTGCAGTGGCGTGATCTCAGCTCACCATAGCCTTGACCTCCCTGGACTCAGGTGATCCTCCCACCTCAGCCTCCCAAGTAGCTGGGACTACAGGTGTGTGTGCACACCAAACCTGGCTAATTTTTGTATTTTTTTTAGAGACTGGGTCTCACCATGTTGCCCAGGCTAGTCTGAAACTCCTTGGCTCAAACAATCTGCCCGCCTCAGCCCCCAAAAAGTGCTGGGCTTACAGACGTGAGCCACCAGACACAGCCTAAACATATTCAATGAGCAGGAAAATGGCTGTTAAAAAAAAAAAGGGAGCTTTCATTTCTGATCAGATCTTCCTCCTTCCATTCCTCTACCCTTTCAGCACACCCTATTCACCAACTCCATTATGTGACATTGGAAGCAAAAAGTTCATTATTTCACAAGTGACAAGACAATCACTCAAAGAGACTGTACTTTATGAATCACAGATCCTATCACAGTCTCCTAACTGGGTAATGTCTACTCGTAACCTGGGCATAGGATAATTTTTCTTTCAACATCTGTATAGGCTACTACTTTCTAGGAAGAAGACAGAACAAGTCACCATGCCTGTCCTCATGCAGAGAGGGGCGTCATTAGGATTGTGGTCCTCAGAGAGAGAGAGAACTAAGGCTGAGTCTTCAGTGCAGATTGTGAGAGTGAGAACTACCATGGAGGCGCCTGACTCTGGATGCAAGAACAATCACTCATTGTAATCCAGACCTCATTTATCTCTGAATTCACCTAGAGACCAGTCATCTGAGGTCAAGAAATAGAAGATTTCTTAGGAAAAACTAAGCCTGGCCAGCTGGCTAGTGCCTATGCTGGCCACAACAGAAGCACAGAAGAAAGATTAATGCAGTGCTGCCCATGAACACAATAACACAATGAATCCTCAAAATGGATGAAGATTGGTCACAACAAGCCAACAAGTTCAGGAGCTTCCCTGCCATAAAGATCTTTTCATTTCTTCACTTGTTCATAATTCTGAAGGCAATTTGCCTTTCTCATTGTAATCCCTTTTTAGAACAGATATTTACTTAATGAATTAATAAGATGTCAATCATTTTCAAGCCAATAAGAGAAGTATAGTAGTGTAAATCATGGACTTCCTAAAAGCAGAAGTTGACTTTGACCAAAGAAAGGAGTCAAAGATATTTTAACTGGTAAGTAAAAATTTACCTATTTATAGACTAATCTGAGTGGTGGTTGTCATATTCTACCCTGAACTCAATTTAAAAAACTGAAGATGGAGGCTGGGTGTGGTGGCTCACGCCTGTAATCCCAGCACTTTGGGAGGCTGAGGCAGGCAGATCACCTGAGGTTGGGAGTTCGAGACCAGCCCGGTAAACATGGTGAAACCCCGTCTCTACTAAAAATACAAAAATTAGCTGGGCATGGTGGTGCACGCCTGTAGTCCCAGCTACTCAGGAGGCTGAGACAGAAGAATCACTTGAACCCAGGAGGCAGAGGTTGCAGTGAGCTGAGATCACACCACTGCACTCCAACCTGGGCCACACAGCGAGACTCTGTCTTAAAAAAAAAAAAAAACCTAAAGACGGGATGAGTGGGTTAAACAAAAGAAATGTATTTTCTACAATTCTGGGAGCTAAAAGTTCAAGATCGAAGTGTCAAGTAGGACTGGTTTCTTCTGAAGCCTCTCTCTTTAGCTTGCAGATGGCTGTCTCTTCCCTGTGTCCTCATGTGGTCTTTCTTACACACATGTGTGTGTCTTTGTCCTGTGAGTGTCTGAGTCTCAACCTCCTCTTCTTAGAAGGACACCAGTCGTCTTGGATTAGGACCCACACTCATGATTTCATTTTAAATTAATCACCCCCTTTATAGACCCTATAACCAAGTACAGCCACATTCTAAAGTACTGAGGGTTAGGACTTCGACATACGAAATTCAGAGAAGACACAGTTCAGCCAGTAACAATTATGATTGCCAAAAAATTCTATCTTAGATCTTTTAAGAAAAATGTATATTTTTATGGTTGACAATGGAAATGTCTCACAGTACTATACTAGATAACTACATACCACAGTATCATACTATTTTTTATAGTACCATACTATTTTTATAGTACCATACTATTTTTCTATTTAAGACTTTTTCTAACTCTATCAGCTTAGAAAAATGAAAGACACTTCTGGCAAGTATAATTACTTCAAAGCGAGTTCAAAAAAATAAAGCAACCACTTTAATGTGAAGTCCAGTGTAGTATTATTTTCTCTGTATTTGTACTATTTTTAAATGTATAATCAGAATTCTAAAATTTAATAAGCAGGTTATCACAGATGATTTTACTCTTTGGTAAATGTTTCTTTTTATGACATATTCCAAAAGTGTACTTCTTTTTTATTTTTTAAAATAGAATGAACCTATCGGAATGTTAGAAAATCAGAAAGAGCTTATAAATTATGTAGGCTAATGGCACAGCTGGAGTTTTCTTAATTAACTACGGAAAGTATCTAGTGACAGCTTTTTCTTGTTCTGGTTATTCAGTATGAGAAAGTTAATTGGTCTAGAAAGCAAAAGAGAATATCTTTGAATTGTTTCAGGAACAAAGTCACATCTCCATACAACAGGTCAGAGAAATATGTACAAGTTACATATCACTTTGACATGTTTTGCCTGTTGCCATGATAGCAAGGAATGTTTCTCCAGTGAATGCAATGGAGTTTATGACTATAGTTTAGTAAAAGACATGAGAATGACTATGATGTAACCAATGGTTGCAAGATACTTGATTTTTCTTGACAAATCTGAAACAATAGATTTTTCAGAAAAAGCAAGGGCAGATGATGTACCAATTTTTTCTGTTTTTTAGTGTTGTGATATCAGAGAAAGACTTGTGAATGTATTGTCTCAACTTCTGAAAGGGGCAACAATGAGCAAAGGGAATATAATATCCTGTCTCCTGATCCAGTGACATGTAGTGACGAGTAAGAAAATAGCCACTACTTGAAAGAGCAACAGATATAGAAATATCCCAGATGGAAAATCCATTCCAAAGGCAAATCTGAGTCACGTAAGGATTTATAGTTGTTAAAGCACCATTTTCAAAATGGTAAAGTCATAGCTATCATACCAATATAAGATGATATAAGTAAAGGATTTTATGTAGCTAATTAATTAATGAGAGGATCAGTAAGATGTTAAAACTGGTTCAAAGGTGAATCTGATATATGTACATGTGATATGGTTTGGCTGTGTCCCCACCCAAATCTCACCTTGAATTGTAATAATCCCCACAGGTCAAAGGTGGGACCAGGTGGAGATATTTGAATCATGGGGGTGGTTCCCTCCCCAGGCCTATGCTATTCTTGTAATAATGAGTAATTTCCCACCAGATGGGGTGGTTTTATAAAGGGCTTCCCCTTTGCTCAGATCTCATTCTCCTTCCTGCTGCCATGTGTTTGCTTCCCCTTTGGCCATGATTGTAAGTTTTCTGACACCTCCCCAGTCCTGTGGAACTGTGAGTCAATTAAACCTCTTTCCTTAATAAATTACCCAGTTTCAGGTATCTCCTTAGAGCAGCGTGAGAATGGACTAATACAATATGGACAACCACATATGCTAAATACTGAAACGATTTTGCTAATATATGTAAAGCTGGTTAGTATCTTACATGGCAGTAAAATTTAATGTTTGGGATTACTTTTCTCTAGGAGAGAAATTAATTATATTTCTGCTTGACAAAGTGTATTAGCATTTCTATGGAAAAGATTCATTTGCCTTATCAGTTTTCTACAAATTAACATCTACCTCTACAAGTTATAAAATAGCTTAGAAAGAGAATCAAATATGCACACCCTTATAGAATCAGATAATTCCTGGAGGTCTGTTAGACAACACCTAGCACTCCAGTGAACAGACACCCAGTGATTTCTTCTGCCCATTTCAGATCTTTGATAATTTATGCTGACATAATTGAATCAATCACTGACCTGTTCTTTGCCCTCATATTCCTGGCATGGTAGAACCTCAGACAATAAACATAAAAACTATCAACATGTGGGAGAAGAGTTCATGACAGGAAAAGATCTTTTTTATTAGAAAAAGAAATATTTTACCAATTTTAAAGAGTAGACTCTGAGCTGCTCTTCAGAGAATGAACAACATGAGGATCTGCCTGATAACTTACTTCTTTGTATCCTCAATGGCTGGCACATATGGCCCAGTCATTCTCAATTTGGACTGCACACCAAAATGACTGGAGGAGGCTTTCTGTTCTGTTTTGTTTTGCTGTGCTTTGTTTTGTTTAAATACTGTCTCCCTGACACTACTGAAAACCTACTGAATCAGATTCTCCAGTCACAGAATCCAAGTCCCTGAACTTTTAAAATGACTCTGATAGAGGTTCCCCCCACTTCAGCCCAAGATGGGACACACTGTTGGCTAAAAAATAAAAGATTCAAGCAAGTTATTTCTGAAATTTTTGTGTAGAGGTCTAGAACACAAACTATTAATGCCTGACTTTACTTGTAAACATTCTATTAAAAGAAAAGTATCACCAAATTTTCTTTTCATGACCACTAAAGCTTTCTCCCTTTGCTGACCATGGTTCCATCCAACTGTGGAATAATGGATTGATTACCAGAGAAATCCAGGAAAAAAACTCATTTCATGCTCTACAACTTTAATTAAACTACTTATAATTCTGTAACAGCCAACTCTTCTATGTAATCTCCCAAAGTTCTTCCAAGTTTATTCCATTCAAGTAGGCAGAAAATGTTTATAGTATACTTATACCTTTTGATTTTATTAATTAAAAATTTCTTTGAGGTATTTACTATCACTATTATTGGGAACTAGGAGGACTATGCCAAGTTTCATATTAGCAGGGACCTGCAGATTGAAGCTATTATTTTTTTCAACCAAGTGAAATTTTTCTTTCAGGACATAATTTCTATAGTCAATAGGATCTACGTTATGCAGATATATCTTTTGTATCAATAGTAAAAGGAAACATGCATATTTCTAAAAATGTTATGCAATGTACTGTAGCAGATAGAAAACAGATGGATGTTATTCTTCTAAGACAGTGGCTGCTGTACTTGAGAGACAAACTGAAGCATTTGACCCGTTTCAGGTTAATCTAGGTGTTTTTTGCATTCTTTGCTCTTTTCTTTCTTGTACATTTCAAAAAACTAGCTTTTATCACAAACTCAATAATGATTATTTTCACTACTGTAATTTACAGTCACCTTTGAAATCAGCAAGCTTTTAAAAATGTAGTTTCTAATTATAAAAGGTGATAAATGGCCAGGTGCGGTGGCTCACGCCTGTAATCCCAGCACTTTGGAAGGCCGAGGCGGATAGATCATGAGGTCAGGAGATAGAGACCATCCTGGCTAACACGATGAAACCTCGTCTCTACTAAAAATACAAAAAATTAGCCGGGTGTGGTGGCAGGCACCTGTAGTCCCAGCTACTCAGGAGGCTGAGGCAGTAGGATTGCGTGAACCGGGGAGGTGGAGCTTGCAATGAGCTGAGATCGCGCCACTGCACTCCAGCCTGGGCGACAGAGCGAGACTGTGTCTCAAAAAAAAAAAAAAAAAAAGTAATAAATATTTAATGTAAGAAAAATTTGAAATTAAAGTATGAAGAAAAATTATATGTATCCAGATAAAAACCACTACTGTCATATATGTATTTCTTTTGCATTTTTCTATGCATATAAATAACATAGTTGAGAGCATGTTAGATATACTTTTTTACATCCTAAATTTTAAAATTATTGGTAGTGGACTTTTTTCCTGTCATTACAATTTCTTTAAAAGCTACTTTTAAATGGCTACATAATATCTAATTTCATATGTGTTTCATAATTTAACAATTTCCTTATTATTAAATATTTTATTGTTTTCTAAATGGGGCTATCATAGTATTGATAAGTCAGCTTTTAAAAAGCTGTTTTCTCACCCAGCAGTAGCCAGAATATGCACTGGTTATCTAAGATGAAGTGTTACCCATAAATACACAGCTCACATCTTTTTTTTCTTTTTTTCTGTTTTTCTTTTTTTTTTTTCTGAGATGAAGTCTTGCCTTGTCTCCCAGGCTGGAGTGCAGTGGTGCGATCTCAGCTCACTGCAGCTTCCGTCTCCCGGGTTCAAGCAATTCTCTGCCTCAGCCTCCCGAGTAGCTGGGATTACAGGGGCCCCACCACCACACCCAACTAATTTTTGTATTTTTAGTAGAGACAGGGTTTCACCATGTTGGCCAGGCTGGTCTTGAACTCCTGACCTCGTGATCCCCACGCCTCGGCCTCCCAAAGTGCTGGGATTACAGGCGTGAGCCACTGCGCCAGCCAGCTCACATCTTTTAGAGATGTTTCAAGAAATCTAAAAGGCCCTTAGTTTTAAAATGTCAGTATATCTTCACCTTTTTAATTAACTTTAAAATCATTTTTATATATCATTCTTCATTTTTTACACTGAGACTTATAGAATTATCTTCCAAGTCATTAAAGCAGAGGTGCGACTAAAGTGTTTCACAACTGGAAGAATTATTATTTTAAAATCTGTGCTGAATTTCAGAGATCATTTCCTTCTGGTTTGAATCAAATTCCAAGAATCTGGGCGTTTTATTATATTCCTTTCCAAATTCCTCCTTCCTCTCTATTCCAATATCTAAAACTTAACAACATAGTAAAAGTGACCAATACTATTTTTTACAACTTTACTCAAGAGATTGCTTAATGTTAATATTTTAGTTCCCATTTTGTTCATTTCACTGTTCAAATTTCAGCACTTGGCCCTTTGGGAGTACTTAAAATGAACATTCTAATTTTAGAGCAGTCATGAATTTTTTGCTTAATATCTAATTCATATTTGCAAAAGACAGTCTTTCTTTCTTTTCAAAAATATCTAGCTCATGTTATTTTTCCCCAATTTTATGTATCACTTGAGCTTGTTATTTTGGGGGATTTCATTAGACAGGTGCTCATTAAAAAAAAAAAATACAGCAACATTTAGCTTTATAATCAGCCTCATTTTGAAAGGAATTCCACAGTATAGAGCTTAACATTTTAGTTAGCAGATTAAGTACCCACTACATACAGCACTCTACTAGGGCAAATGTTTTACCATTATATTTGAAAAAGGCAATGAAACAACAACATTAAAAACACTTTAAAATAACTCTTCAATTTTATCCCTTAGAGCAATTTTTAAAGTATTGGAATATAAATGTATTTAATTTCACTGATGTCTAGTTTAGTGCTATGTGTTGAGTGGGATTAGCTTTGAATCTAGTGCTACTAAATGTCAAAATATAAAAATGTTAAAGATAGAATAATGTGTCCACTACGGTATGCTGATTGATGAAACTGCACCTCTATTTTGGAAGTACATATCTTGTGACATTTAAATCTACACGTCTAATAATAAATTCAAGGTATTTTTTGTAGCTAGAAAAAAAATCCTAGCATTATGTAAGATATTATCTTTTCTTTTAAGACACAGTAAAAACAACTTATCTTTTATAATAATAGAAACAGAGGAGATAACCTAAAATAAGAACTTTATTTCCTCTTCTACTGTAGCTTGGGTTTTGCTAGGTTGGTATCAGTGACAAGGAATATTAGAGAGTCATTTTCAATTAAAGCTGTTTTTCAGGTTTTGACCATAGTTAAATAGGTTAAATACAACACTGAGATTGAATTGTCTACACTGATTATTACATCAAGCTTCTAGGACCTTCCTTTTCATATTCAAATAAGCTCTATATGAAATCTTTGCTCAAAATAACTGACTTACCCCATCTTTGACTCTGTCACACAAGGCTAAACAGTCTATGCTACTATCACAAATATTTCCTAGCAGAACTACATTATTGAATATGCACTGTAGTATCTTTAAATCAAATCCCCTGTCTTTTACTTCTTTGTATCATTTTTCTACAGTCTTGAGAACATTGCTGAAGGTAAAAGTTTCTCAACATTCAGCCTAGTTGGGCTAAATCAGATGAACAGGATTTCATCGTTGGTAAATATTCCTTGTCAATTATTTTGTTAAATGCGGCCCATGTGGATAGTAAAAAAACCCAGTCACAGATTGAATGCAACACCATGAGCCATATATAGGACCCTTGGGCTACATGAAAAGGAGAATTGAACAACCACTTAAGAAAATTAGAGAGGTTAGTGTGAGGAAAAGTAAAGTGCAGCTCAATACAGATATACTCAAAAAATGCTTTCTGTCCTAAAAACTCTTAAAGAAAGAGCCAGTCTCCCCTCTCTAAATCTGCAGTGAAAGGAAACCAAAGGTTCTAGAAACTGGTGTATGTGGGCACACCTAAGACGAGTTAGAGTAGCCCTACAATTTCAAGAATTACAATATTTGAATCAAAAGGAACTTTAGAAGTTATCCAGTTCTACTTCTTCATTTAACAACTCAGGAAATAGGTCCAAAGATGTTAGTCAGTTGTTCGAGGCCATAATGCTAAACAGCACTGGAGCTGGTTACCAGCATCAGAAACTTCTTTCAGACCAGAGTTTTATTCCATCTGGTACCTGTCAGTTGTCAGTTCCCAGAAAAACATATTCAAAGACAAATGAATTAAAGCCTAATTATTATAAATTCTAAGTAGTATCCACAGAAGATCATGCTATTTGACATTTGACAATGAAAAAGTAATAAACTTTTCTTAGCAGCCATGATAACAAACATTTAAACACAGGAAAAAATAGTGGATAATGCAAAAAAAAAAAAATAGAATGGTATTTTAAATTCTCCCTTGAAGTTTTGAAAAAAATTAGAAGTCAAGTGCACTGGCATGTGCCTATAGTCCCAGATACACTGGAGGTTGAGGCAGGAGGATAGCTTGAGCCCAGGAGTTGGAGGTTGTAGTGTGCTATGATTGCACCTGTGAATTGCCACTGCACTCCAGCCTGGGCAATATGGCAAGACCCCATCTCTTTAAAAAATAATTAGAGGAATAGTACCTCACAATCCTCAAAATAATTTATACTTTTAGAATGTCAGATTATGGAACAGTTAAAAAAAAAAAAAAAAAAAACTTAAAGAAACCTAATGCAGAAAATATTTCTCATAAGAAAATAATACACAGAATCAGCCGGGTGCAGTGGCTCACGCCTGTAATCCCAGCACTTTGGGAGGCCGAGGCAGGAGAATTGCTTGAGCTCAGGAATTCAAGACCAGCCTGGGTAACATGGCAAAACTCCGTCTCTACAAAAAAATACAAAAATTAGCATGGCGTGGCACACGCCTGTAGCCCCAGCTACTTGGAAGGCTGAGATGAGAGGATTGTTTGAGCCGAGATCGCACCACTGCACTCCAGCCTGGGCAATACAGCGAAACCCTGCCTCAAAAAAAAAAAAAAAAAGAGAAAAAGAAAATAATACATAAAATTATTCATTTGGACTAATCACCATTAAAAACACTCTGATAACATGATGTGTTTAAATAAATAAAATTCCCTGAATATTTTATCAGGGATCCATGAGCTATACAACAGCTTTAATTTAGGGTTAACTTTAAATATAATATTTAACTATTTTCTATTTGGCATTCAAAGCAATAAAAGTGGGAGGTGAGGCACAAGAGAGACTCCTTGATCCTCAAGTACATGTATGTGCCATATGGTATAGTGAATATGAGGGTTCAACTAAATGAGAATAGAACAGAGCATCCTTGATGGTAGTATGAAAATACATGCTATATAAGGAAAGTAAGCAAATAAATGGCTTATCTGTGCTGAACTGCACACTATTTATAACTAATATGGTAAAACCTGTGGAAATCCAAGAGAATTTAAAATATTAATGTTCAATTTATATTATTTATAAGTAAAAGTAAAGTACATGTTTAAACAATCAAAGATCCTTAAAGACTGTTGTACTTTGTTCAGATTTTTAAAACATAGAAATAAAACACATTTTGTCTCTTTAGTGTTATATTCTACATCCTCTGGTATATGTATAATATTTTGGAAACATTTATTATTTCCTAACTGGTTTTTTGATAGAAAACACACTTTATTTGGCTATAGGAAGGCAGTATATATGGACATTTCCCACTCTAATGTCATGAGACCATGTCTCTCCCTAAAACCATCTCAGTAGTTGTTGCCAGCACACAGTATGTTTTATAAACATTGGTTAAAAAGAAGAATGAGCTGAGTCTTCTCATTAAACATTACAAATGCAGATTGACTTTGTGTCTTATAAAGGGTTAGTGTATATTACATGCCATATAAATCAGAGGCAACATAGAGTGGTGAAAAAGAGTCCTGGGCTTAGAGGCAAGAGACACGAGTTCTAGACCTAATTTTGCCACTAACTGGAGAGAAGAGGAACTTTTACTCCTACAATACTTAAAATAATATCATTGGACCAAATGATCTGAAAAGGCCCTTCCCAAGAAACCTAAAATTCCATAATGTTATTATTCAGCTCTACGTATAATAAATTATTATTCAACTCTAAATATAATAAATTATTATTCAACTCTAAATATAATAAATTATTAATAGCTACAAGAAAGAAAAGCTATAGTTAGGCTGACAGATTTACTAATCAAAATGATATTTATTCTTGCATTAAGATGTTCCATTTTCATTAATGGCAGATATAATGCACTTAAAGTTCGCTTTTGTATTTCTCAACTGGAACATTAGTTTGGCAACACTTTGCTACATTTGCAAAACACTTAGTAAAATTAAAGCAAAGAAATGATTATTTTCTATGACAGGAGTTTGAATAAAATGCTGGTTTACGAATTTTCTGCTTGTTACTTTTTGTTAAGGAAAATAAATTTGGTATTATACTTATTTCATTTGTCTTATGAAAAATAAAGAGAATATTGAAAGTTCTATGTATCTCGCACTGTTAATACTTAGGCACATTAAAAATAAACATACATGAAAATTAGTATATACATTAATTATATTAAATTGGCCTTCATAAAATAAACTAATTGTTTTATTTCCTTACCTGACACGTTGGACTTCAACCGACACTAATGACCATCAACGAGTGAGTTTCCATAGTTTTTAATTTAAAATAATGCTTGTTTTTACATACATTAAAAAATAGTTAACATTTATAAATAAAAATAACTGTGATAAAGAGATAAAAGCTGAGTAACGCTAATGGAGTTACAAATTATAAAATAATAAATTGCTTTAATGCTATACCCTGCTCCATATAACTGCTACAAGTCTTCACTATCACCTATAAATCCATCTAATACAAAAGATGCTATTGCCAATTGTCAATATGGAGCTAAAGCTGGAAGACAATATTAGTATGCATATTCCAGTATACTAAGAGATTTCTTCTAAGCTGAGAAAAGGTCTACTTTACTCAGGCCTAAAAGGGTATTTCCATGTGGAAAATGATAAATAACTCTTTATTAACTAAAAAGTGAAAGAAAATAGAAATTCCATAGAAAGCAGAAGTAATCAGGGGTCAATTAAAGCAGAGCATATTACCACCCCTGATTAGCTATATATAAACTCAAATAATTATGCAGATATAATCATATGCAAACATGAATTCCACGTTCAAGAAGTAGCCAAATAAACAACAGCCAAGCAAACAAACAAGTGGGAATTTAGAAAAACAAACTGTCAAGGACAATCTTCAACAAATTTTCAAAAACAGAAAGCAAACAGCATGAAAATTAAAGGATACAAAAAATCATTTGCAATCCAAAACTATTCATTCTGTTGATATGCCAAATAACATTCAAAACACTTAAGAAGACAGTAGATCACATAATTAATATTACTGCCATGCTTTTTAGTTTTATTTGTTAGAGTGTGGCATCATTCCCCTCTCTATTCTTCAAACAGGAAAAATAATATTCACTCAGACAACAAATGCAGCAGCCATGGTGAGGGCGATCAAAGAAAACTAGTGTCCGGACTTGGATGTTTCCGCCACGTCTCCCCGCTACTGTCAAATAGCTTACTTTCAGAGTGAGAGTGGGTGCGGCAAATCTGGGAAGGTGACTTGATCATCTTTTTTTTTCACTAAATGAAAACTTGTTGATGTCACTTTCCCACTTATGTTCTTTCGGGTGCTTTCATAACCTGAATTATTTATGCAAGGATGCCAAATGCATCAAGCTATCTTCATTCCACCCTCCCTGAGCCGGGGCAGACTTCAACCATCACCTCAGGAGCACGCTAGTCCACTGAGCTTGGCTGAGCTCAGAGCCCTTCTCAAGACTTTTCCAGGAAGCTGCCCCTAATCAATCAGATGGCCTGTGTAATAAAACCCATTTACCTTTTGAATAGGTGACTACTCAGAAAAATGCTTTGACTAAAAGCATAAGTAAAGAACTGACAGGTAAAGCAGGGTCAGAGAAGAAAGATGTTGATAGTGCCAGTCCAAGCAAGGGAAGCAATAAGCAGGCCCCAAATCTCCAGCACTCCAATCCTGGTAGCCAGATAATCTTTTTTATGCAGGTAGTGCTTTGAGGTACTAGCCTGATGCCATTGACAATCAAATTATATTATTGTTTCCCCTTCTTCTGGTCTCGTGCTTATGTAAAAACCTGTTGGCTAGTATTTTGTTCCCACATAGTTTTATTGACCCATAAAGTCAGAACACCAAATTAATTTGGCACAACTATTCTAATTTTATGTGACAATACATATTGAAAGTCCATATTATACATCACTTCCTGTGAGGTTACTTAATGTGAATTCACCCCCAAGAGACTGCTCTCTTCTTAGTGCACTGAAAAACTTAGTTTCTGAGCCTACAAAGTAAGGATTCAATGCTGAACCATGATAAATCCCCAAGATATGTATGTCATCTAATAATATATCTTAATAACCAAACAGTTGAGGTTTATTGTCACTGCCACTTCTTTCTCTTTAGACTTTCAACATGTAACACATGGAATAAAGGTCCCTCATGAACTGAGCTCCACTTTTTTTCTTTCCAATTTTACCTCCAATGTAGTCCTACAGTTTGTATCAGCCGCAGGAATTCTGATCATGGCAGTGTTGGTGGTGGAGGATAAGTATATTGCTTCAGGACATCAAATCTAAAGTTATAAAGCAAAATCTTAAATAGGAGAATAAGCAACAACATTGGAAGTTGGGAGCATTAAAAGTTTGTAGAATTGACCAGGATGTAATATGAAAAGGAATGCATTTTAGATCCACGAGAGTTATCAATAAAGAGTCTGTTAGAAGCTCTTTTTCATTGTGGTGCTTGTCACTTTAGCAGAAAGTTGGTAGCATAAAGTAGTTGTGTGGTTCTTGGACACCACAGCTTAAGCCTATAATGTCCACAAACCGTGAGGTCTAGCTATCTGGAATGACTTGCTGCTCTGGAATTTGCATGTTTCTCACATCCCCCTGCCTTTGCATATGCGTTTCCTAATTTCCAGAACATCCATTGGTCTTTATTCAAGCCATGCCTCTCTGCTCCCTTAGCATTTATGGCACTGGAATTTAAGTTGTCCCTATATATTTTCTTTATGATTCTGAGTTCCTTAAAATCAGGGCCCTGTTTAAGACATCTTAATGCCACTGAAGTATCTATCACAGTACTTTATATATAATGAGATATATAATTTGATCATTAAATTGCTTATTAAAATACATTGAATAGAAAATCCTGATGCTATTATACTAGTTGAAGATATTCTCATAAATTCTCACCTATTCATTTATCTGACAAATGTGTATCAGAGTTTTGGGGTTTTGTTTGCTTTTTACTTTTTTAATGTGTCTGACCTTGTGCTAGGAATGGGAGATATTAAAGGGACTCAATCCCAGCCATTAAGGAGAAAGAGGTCTTGGTAGAAAGTTGACACTTTTACTCGCAGTAACATCGCTATCCAAACTGCTACCAAATATACAGACTACAAATGTTTCATTGAAATACTTAAATATGTAATAGATTGAAGGCAGGAATTTTATTTATGCATTGATTATTCAAATTTTTACAGATCAGTTTCCTCTGCTTCATAACCATAATTTAGATGTAGAATTATGATGCACATTAAAGGTGATTTTGATTAATAACCCCACATTCTCCTATTTTCTATCACTGAGGCTCATAGTCCTGCTCAGTTATTAAGATGCTTTAGTATAGTGCATTTAGTGCAGTAACTTTCAATAACTGAAAAAGGCAGATTTTTGTCACTTATATCCATAAACTATTAGGTTTAATATTAGCCCATTTCCTCATCAGAACCATGTCAGAACACAAAAATCCTGCAGATTCATGTGACTGGTTTATTAATTCAGAAATTGTAACATTCAAAATTCACAAGTAAATGGTCCTGTTTAAGCTATAAAACAAATATACTTTTACTAGGTAGTTTAACTTTTTATCTTAATGAAACTCACACAACAGTTTTTCTCAATGGAGCATCTAAATATCAATAATATCTGACAATTAAAAACACCAAAGAGTTACGCAGGAATGGAAAACTTTTTGCATATATTAATTTTTTATGTTCCGTATATAAAATTCTGTGATAAAAGACAAATGTTATAGTGAGTATATACTTATATAATAATTATACTAAGCAAATTCATGTGCCCAGAAATAAAATTGCAAAGCCTCAATAATGAAAGCAAACTCAAGATTAAATCCAAAAATAAATTGAAAAAAATGTATTTATTATTTATTTATTTATTTATTTTTTTTTTGAAACAGAGTCTCACTCTGTTGCCCAGGCTGGAGTGCAGTGGTGCAATCTCGACTTACTGCAGCCTCATCCTCCCAGGCTCAAGGGCTCCTCCCACCTCAGCCTTCCAAATAGCTGAGACTACAGGTGTATGCCACCATGCCCAGTTAATTTTTTTGTAAATTTTTTGTAGAGACGGGGATTCACCCCATTGCTGAGGCTGGTGTTGAACTCCTGGACTCAAGTGATCCACCCAACTCGGCCTCCCAAAGTGTTGGGACTATAGGGATGAGCCACTGCACCTGGCCAAATGAAAAAATAATTCATACTATCTTGCTACCAGTCTTTAAAATTTAAAATAGACCCCATTTTATATTTTTCTTTGGAACTTATCCTTTAAAAACATCTATTTAAAGTCTTATTTTTCTGTTGGGCCTCATGTTCTTGGTAAAGTGGTCTTTAGATCAAGTTTGACGTACACAAATACCGTTTATCTGTCTATCCCAGTACATTTGCTGAGCTCCCATCATGAACTTTGAGTCCCTGAGGATCTTGAAGTTAAGAAGATCCCTGCTCTAAAAAATATGTAAGCTGTATAAAGAACAGTAACAACTAGGAAAGGCATGAAAATCTAATTTCTGTAACTCAGTTCAATTCAGTAGAACTCATAGCCTTATTATCTGGGGAAAATCAGAACATATAGGCCCTAAATTTAGTCATAAACTTTAGTTTAGATGTATTTTCCAGTAATTATTCAGGAGAAAGCAGTAGTCATGGGGACTCAGCCCCAGAGGCAGCCGTCACTTGCTATTATATCAGCCTTTGCTGCATTAAGCTTTCCAAAAATAGAATTCCCATCTTCAAATTCATGTATTCCTTCAGGTATCCCCAACAGACTTTTCCCCCAACAGACAAACATTATGCTCTTACCTTTGACAATCATTTCAACTGTGATACAGGAATTTGATTCTAAAAAAACAGGGGTAGGATCGGCTCTTTCCAACCCCTTCTAGCTCTAAATTTTAGGAAACAGTGGGTGCCTCTTCTTCCCAATATGAAGCCACATGGGCTGGGTCCTTTTGTTTTCCTCAGATCACAGAAAGAAAAGTAAGCAAATAAGGGAAAAATCAGATTTTAGTTCACTATTTTTTTCTTTTCTTTTCTTTTCTTTTTGAGACAGAGTCTTGCTCTGTCACCTAGGCTGGAGTGCAGTGGCGCCATCCTCCTCTGGGTTCAAGTGATTCTTCTACCTCAGCCTCCCGGGTAGCTGGGATTACGGGCTTGTGCCACCACGCCCGGCTAATTTTTTTGTATTTTTAATAGAGACGGGGTTCCATCATGTTGGCCAGGCTGGTCTCCAACTCCTGGCCTCAAGTGATCTGCCCACCTCAGCCTCCCAAAGTACGGGGATTACCGGCGTGAGCCACGATGCCCAGCCAGATTTTAGTTCACTTTAGATACGATATGCACACCTAATTTTACCCTATGCCAATTCTGTAAATGACTGATATAATAACAGTAACACAAATGGGTTTTTCATTATTATCTTTATATAAAACAATTATAGATGTATTTAGATACGTAAATTACAGTTTGACTTCATGATTAAAAGCATGAGTTTTGGAGTCAGACAGGTGGATTTGAAGTCTACTTGAACCACCACTGATATGACCCAAACAAGTTACAGAAGCCCCAGTTTCCACTTTCACAAAAGGAGGGTAATAAAAATCTACCTGAAAAGAAACCCCAAAAAAACTATCTCAAAGTGTGATGTGCCTGAGTTCCTTAGTAGAAAGTAAGAATTATAGATGTTACTATTACTCAACAAAATATTCCCATCAAAAAAAAGACAGGATGAATATCCATGAAAAGTTATCTAATATTTAAAAATATATAGAGAAAAAATATTTCAAAATGCTGTATTTATCTAAATTCCATGGCAAATTGACTCATTTTTATAAGGTTTGGATCTCTTTCAAACTCTAGTCCATGCACTATGTTATAACTTCTCTATGATTTCCAAATAGGGCTTTCAAGTTACTGAACAAAAACAGGTATATCTGTACAACTTTATGATGCATATCTAACAAGTTTATAGATGAGGCAATCTGTAAATTTGTACAAATGAGGGAAAGAGAGGCTATAAACATATTTTTAACCATCCAGAGAATTCAAGGTATTAAACTCATATACAGATTCCAAAACTTAACTGAGCAAAATCCAAAAATGTATAGTTTCAAAATGTATTATTCAAAAATTAATCCTGATCAGAAACACAGTATTAAGAAAGTTTGGAATAAGTAAAAGTCCAAAGTAAAATCAATTGTTTTAACATTAAAATATACTGTGTACAGGAGGTTGAGGTGGTAGGATCGTTTGAGCCCAGGAGTTCAAGGCAAGCCTAGGTAACACAGAGAGACTGATAATATTGACTTTACATATTCAACAGGAAAAATAATTATACTAGTCAAAATCCTTTACAATAAGCTTCATTTTACCATAAAACTCTACATTACAGAAAGGTAATTAAGTATCCATTACTGGCCATTTACATAAATTTTAATATTCAAGTAATATTTAATATAGCACTATGCTATTATCAAATAATTTGGATGGTTAGAATGGGATTGATCCTAGCAACAATAGATATGAAGAACTCTGTACTCTACCACTGGAGCTAATATGAGTTTTTTTACGGTTACATAGGCATCCCGAGCCTATGTAGTGCACTTTGTTCCAATCATCTACATATTATAACATAAAATTATAAATTTGGAAAAAACCTTAGAGACTTCAGCAGATTTTCAGTCTAGTGCTTCCCCTACCCCACACCACCCCCATCAACATTCATTACATCATGTCTTCCTAGATGTAGTCATTTCTAGAATCTGAAAATTATTTTTTAATATTTATTTATTTATTTATTTTAAAGACATGGTCTCACTATGTTGCCCAGGCTGGACTTGAACTCCTGGGCTCTAGCTATCCTCCCACCTCAGCCTCCCAAGTAACTGGGACTAGAACCTAAAAATTATTTAATTTACATATACATATCTCTACTTCACTCTGGTCACATGGCTGACTTCTTCCTAATAATATCAAAATAAATTAGGCTGCTCACAAATTTGGTCTTCTAGAAACCATAGTGTGGGCTATCCTCTATTAAGCTCTCATAATTGTGTGATATTTTCCAGGTTACTTTTCTAGGAATATATATTTTTACTTTGGGATTCCCCACTTAAAAGATAAGAAAATGGGAGGGATAGGAAAATCATAATATACACCACCCCTTACCCCACTCAAAAAATGGCAACTAGATTAATTTTCTTAAATTCAATATTACACGAGTGAAATTTTGCTTGGGAACTTTTAAGTAGGAATAAATGGCTTCTAAAGTAATATGTTTTATCAGGGTATCAGGGTTTGGTCATCTTTTCATAGAAAATAAGTATGTTTGGAAACAACTGGCTCACATAACCGGTTCCTTCTCTTTTTCCAATTGTTGTCACTTAAAAAATATTCATCAGAAAGTGGAAAATTTGTTTTGAACTGCACTTGCCGTCCCTAAAGTGCCACATCAGTTTCTTTTTTTTTTTTTTTGAAACGGAGTCTCGCTCTGTCACCCAGGCTGGAGTGCAGTGGCACGATCTTGGCTCACTGCAAACTCCACCTCCGGGGTCCACACCATTCTCCTGCCTCAGCCTCCCGAGTAGCTGGGACTACAGGCGCCCGCCACCACGTTCGGCTAATTTTTTGTATTTTTAGTAGAGACGGGGTTTCACTGTGTTAGCCAGGATGGTCTCGATCTCCTGACCTCGTGATCCACCTGCCTCAGCCTCCCAAAGTGCTGGGATTACAGGCGTGAGCCACCACGCCTGGCCCACATCAGTTTCTTAACAACAAAGAAGACATAATTATTAACACAATAATCAATTAAACAGATGTATTTTTAGCTAACTCACTTTAAAAACTTAAACTATTTTTCTAGCTAACTCAAATATTCTCTAAATATCTGATGTAGATAGCTTTTTTCTTTTTTTATCTCAATGACCTGACAAAATATATAGAGCAACTTTAGCTTCTCTCTAGTGTCAATGACAACATAATAAGGAAAAACATAGCAACAGAGTTTGTTTAAAAATATATTGATAATGGCAGCCAGGTGTGGGCACGCACCCATAGTCCCAGCTATTCAACAGGCTGAAGTGGGAGGATCTCTTGAGCCCAAGAGTTCAAGTCCAGCTTGGGCAACATAGTGAGATATATCGCTCTGTTGCCCAGGCTGGAGTGCAGTGGTTCGATCTCCGCTCACTGCACGCTCCGCCTCCCAGGTTCACGCCATTCTCCTGCCTCAGCCTCCGGAGTATGAGGAAGTACAGGTGCCAACCACCACGCCCGGCTAATTTTTTGTATTTTTAGTAGAGACGGGGTTTCACCGTGTTAGCCAGGATGGCTAACTAGATTAGTTAACTATATCTCCTGACCTCGTGATCCGCCCGCCTCGGCCTCCCAAAGTGTTGAGATTACAGGCATGAGCCACTGCGCCCAGCCGAGATATACCATCTCTAAAAAAAAAAAAAAAAAAAAAGCACCATCTTGGCCAACATGGTGAAACCCCGTCTCTACTAAAGTCTCTACTAAAAATACAAAAATTAGCTGGGCATGGTGGCTCATGCCTGGAATCCCAGCTACTCGGGAGGCTGAGGCAGGAGAATTGCTTGAACCCGGGAGTCGGACGTTGCAGTGAGCTGAGATCGTGCCACTGCACTCCAGCCTGTCGACAGAGCGAGACTCCATCTAAAAAAAAAAAAAAAAAAAAGGCAAATAATAAACAAAAGTCTTCAAATTATAAACCAAATGGTTTGAGCTTCTGCCAATTATGATAAATTATTTTGGGAGCACAAATGGGTATTAAAAACTTTTTAAAAGAAGGCTAAATATAGAATTCTCTTTCAACATTTTTTTAAACATTGCCTCTAAAATCTCTTAATAGTTGTCTTCCAAATATTATCCTCTTTCTAAGGTAAAAAAGACAAAAGATAATTAGTTCCTCTGGAAGTCTCTATGTTTGCCTGATGGTACTGAGCAGAAATATGCATATTTGCAGATCTGCCAAGTGCAACCCATTTTGCTGGACAATTCCCAGTGCATTGAATCTCTGCCAAAAAAATAAGCTGGGTGTTGAAAGTTCCTTTTTATCCGTCTGCAGAATTTCACTTTCTCCCTCTGCTGGCTGCCACAGACCCCCTTTACAGATATTAGGTTTAGATGTGCAATGAAACACACATTTGTTCTCTTTAAGTTTTACGATAATGAATACTTCAGTACCCCTTTCTTATAAGTGTTTCTCTTTAGAGCAGCTCTCAGTAACGAGTTCACCATTCCCTGTGCAACTGAATAAAGCTTTTCTGTGACAGGTCCTTCCTATAAGATTTGCAACTCTTACCATTATTTAAAGAACTCAGAAGCACTTCTAAAAGCCGTAAGCATTTTACAATGTTTTCTTTGCACCACTGAACAGCCCCAGCTGAGGAAAGCAAAATGAAGCGGGCCAGATTCACGCTGAGGAGGGCATGATCTTTTCTGTGAGATCCGTATTTTCAGATTTAGTTCACTGATTAGGCTAAGTTCCTGTTTCTTTATATGTTTTGCCTCTAAGCATGTAAACGCAGATATTGGAGATCACTGTGATTCATATAAGTTTGTAGAAACTTATGCTTATTCTATTATTTATTTGTTTGCAAAATTTTAACACTAAAGAATATGGTTAATAATAATTAACACAAATTTTACTGTTGTAACCTTAATTAATTCTATGACCATCATAGTAACTATAATAGAGAATTACTAGCATTTCTAGAATTACAATTAATGTGTATGAATTAAATGGAGAAATTGTGGGAAAGGAAGAAAAAAATCTTTGCTTTGAAAAAAGTAAAAAAATGAATGAGCTCATTAGAACTTTGTTCACTTTTATCAGATACCAATACCTTCGACACAGTCTCTGCTATACATAGACTGACCACAAAATAAGGAATTGGTTCCAGGTAGGGTACAGAAACGCTCATCACAGAGTGAATACTTTTTCCCCAAAATTCAGTTCTTTTCTTTCAGAAAAATCCGTGCTACTTTGGTTTATTGAGTTTTCATTTTCATCTTTTTTCATATAAGGACAGAAAAGAGTTTTAATGTAGATTATAAACCATTTTAACCCAAAACAAAACAAAACAAAAAAATAGTAGGAAACAAAAGAGAATTATTTTCTGTGGTCACAAGAACTGCATATAAAATACAGTTACAGTAATACAAGGATAAGATATCTATTAAGTTTAGATGAGAGACTAGAAATCTCCCATTTGATTTGATGGTTAGAAACAATAAATGGATTAAGATTAACAAACTTAACTCTATCATTACTCCCAATTATGTATGTTCTTCAGGAAAAAGAATTCCAGAAAATACCAAGCTTCAGTTATCTAAATTTAAGCAAATTATGTTACAATTATTGACCAGAACAAAGGGTGAATATTCCATCACTTCAGGAAATGGCTCAAAGATTACACCTAGTTTACACAAGTAGATGGGAAATTAACACCACTGAAGTATACAAAAGATTTTTGGCATCACATGCAAACAGAAATATACAATTATCAATAATCACGTTAATGCAAGGTATTCTATTCCCCAGTATCTAAAAAGTTTAGTCTTCGCTATTTTCTTCCAGTCGTCCCAGTGGTCCTCCTAGGCCTTGAAAATAACTTTTAAAAACTTGAGACAAAATTTTATATCTGGTCCATATGATTTCATATTTAACCCTTTTAATTATTCTCATTTCCTTTTGTGATTTTCTTCTGTATAACTAGAACAAGATTTCATGTGCCATAGGTACAGATCTTAATGTGTGGTTCAGGGCTCTACAGCAGAATAGAAGATGGCAGGGACACTGGCCAGACTGAGCTGATTCACCTTCAGCAGGAAATGAGTTTTGGAATGAAAGCCAATCAATGCGCCAGACTTACAAAGTCAGGAAAACCATGGGGAGTCCTCAGCCAGCCAGAGATCTTCCTATCTGACCTCAATATTAACAGCTTTTGGTGGCATAAGTCCTAAGCCCTGCAGAGACAGTCCTCTAATCATTATAGTTTTTAGAGGGAAGGTTGAGAGGAAGTGACTAAACAGGAAGCAGGTTCTAAGGATATAAACCTTCATTGGACTCTCAAAGCCACTTTTTTCTCAGTGAGCCATTGCAGGTATTTGACTTGAGTAGCACTCTCTGATTTTGAAGACCAGCCCTTTTCTTGCTATGTCTCTCCAGTCTCAACTACATCTTATCCTAGCTGTCTGTTTGTTTGGTCTGACTTCACCAGCCCATTTTGGTCTTAAAATAAAATGATCTGGATCTGAATTTTGGCTCTGCCACATTTGCTGGTGATTTGCAGTATGAGTTTGACAAGTTACTTAACCTCTATGAGCCTCCATTTCATCAAATGTAAAACCAAGTTATAATATCCACCTCATTGCATTGCTGACTATTAACAATAACTCAAGTTAAACGGCCCTCTTTAATTTGTCTTTATAACTCTGTTAGCAAGTTCTTCATACTCCAGTTTAACCCTCTTTTAACCATTTCTTATATTGGCTTTTCTACCTTATCAATACTTTGCTTTCCAACATAAAAGTATGGTTTTCTTGAAAACTTCTATCCCATCTTTATGGATGTTTTCAGCCCTAGGCAAAGTCATACCCTAATGGAAAAGCAACATCCTGGTAACTCATACTACATGCTTTCATGGCTGCTCAATGTCAGGGCAGTTAATCCTCTCTGCCACAGTCATATGTCTATCCTTTGAGGATAACGAAGAACAGTTCTACTCATGAGCTTAGTGAAGGGCTCCACATTAACGAACTTTGGTAATCCTGGTCAGCAAAATTAATTAAAAGAAGGGCTTGGCTTTTCAAATCCCAGATTTGTAATATATTTAGCAGTGATTTTTGCTGAGCTTCCTTGATAAAATTAGTATATACTATCACTAAAATTATCAATATAAGGTAAGAATTTATACTTTAGGTTAAAGTAGATACTAACCTGCCTATTTTAATTGTAAAGAAAAAAATTATCCTCAAACAACAGTTAATTTATCTTAAGAATTTCATGTTTTGATGAAATTCAATATAGTTGTGATCACCTAGAATTGTACTTTTCAAACAATGTTCAATGGAGCCACCAGATTCAATGAGGATGTCTCAGGGGAACTTCCTGAAAGTAGGATGAGGAGGAGGGGAAAGAAGAGGGATAAGTGGGTGGGTTCCACATCCTGCATGCCCACTGTAATCAGAATAGTTCTCTTTGCTAATGCCAGATTTTATTTTTCAAAATGGTTTTGCAGCTAACAAAGAAAAAAATTTAAGTACCTGAACTAAAAGATCCCTTCAGTCTTACAAAGAGCTCTATGCCCTCAAGTAAACACTCCTAAAAGTCAAATGGGACACAGAAATTTAGAGTTTCTAGTTAAATGGACATATTAACCTTCTTATAATTCAAAGTCAGCAAACTGAAGTCTTTCATCTTCAGGGCCTGTTTAACACTTTCAGTCTAACTCTACTGTCCAAAGAATGCTTAGCAGAGCAGAAAGAATGTGCCTACCTAAGGACACCTGAGTAAGGACAGCAGGCTCTCTTCAGTCATGGCAAAAAGGACATATATTTTGTAGTGTTAAAGTAATCCTTTCTTCAAGGTCAAAAAGTGTTCTTAAATTTTGCCATGAAAATGCTCTTATTAGGACACATACCAAAACTGAGGACCTAAGAAAAGAAGAGTCAAATCTTTCTTATACCTTCCCTCAAAACAGATGATCCCTGATTTCTGATTTTTAGAGAGTAATATTCATGTACATAATACACTTATAAATTTAAGGAGTTTGATGATACTACAAATTCCCAGTCATCAATACTTGCCTAATCTAATATTGACCTCTCTCTCTCTCTCATTCTCCACAAACGATACTTCAATCCTTGCCCTTTTCCTCAAATCCTCATTAACTACTCTGGCCACATCTTCTTCACAGAGAAAATACAAATTTTTCTTGACATCCCCTTCAATTTTCCCTACCAAATCTACAAACCTATCTGTATCTGCACGCATCCTACAGAGATTGCCTTAGCTGTGTTGATGTGCATGTTGTCCTTCCCACTGGCTATAGGTAATCCCTCTTCCTAGACCACCTCCTCCATCACTTCCTTCCTTTTCAGAAACCCATACCTCCAATCTCTCTCCTTCTTCTGCACTGTTCCCATTAAAATGTAAACATGTTCAAGACTCTCTCATCCCAACTTCCCTATCCAGACGCTGGATTCTCCGCACTTTTATTTCCTGACAAAATTTTCAAAAAGCTATCTTTTTTGCTAACTCTATCCCCTTATCTCTTATTTACTTCTCAAACTAATCCGGTCTGGTTTCTACCCCTGCTTCTCTACTGAAACTTCCCTTGCCAAAGTTACTGAGGACATTTATATGTAAAACTCCAGTTGGTTTGTTGATGCATTCATCTTTCTTGACCTGTCAGCAACATTTGACACTCCCTACCAAATCATTATTCTTCCCTTCTTTGTCAAGAAGTGGAATTGGTTCTCCTTTATCATACTATAATCACAGATCTTTCCTCTGAGCTTCTAAGATTCATCTATCCAATTTCTGACTTAGCTTTTATACCTGGAAGTCTCAAATGAAGCAAAATGTATTGGAATATATTCATATAATAATATTAATTATGTAATAAAGCAGAGTAATATCTGCCCTTCTAAAAATAGCCCAAGCTGGCCAGGCGCAGTGACTCATGCCTATAATCCCAGCACTGTGGGAGGCTGAGGTGGGCAGATCACTTGAGCTCAGGAGCTCACGACCAGCCTGGGCAACATAGTCAGAACCCATCTCTACAAAAAAATCAAAAATTAGTCGGGCATGGTGGTGCAAGTCTGTAGTTCCAGCTACTCAGCAGGCTGAGGTGGGAGGATCACTTGAGCCCGGAAGGTGGAGGCTGCACTGAGCCATGATTGTGCCACTGCACTCCAGCCTGGGTGACAGAGGGAGACCCTGTCTCAAAAAACAAAACAAAAACAAAAAGAAAATAGCCTAAGCTGATTAATGTTATCTCATTACCAACATTAATAAAATTGTCTATTTCTCCTTTAGCACTCAAAAGAATAGCCATGAAGTATAGAAAATGTATGTTAAATAATTATCATTCAAAGAGGATAAAATTTTAAGTTATTCCCCACTCCTTTTATCTTATCTTCAATAGTACATGACCTGAATTTTGTAAGGCCTTGAGGAAATTTCTAAGCAAAATGAGAAATGCTTTAAAAATTGCAATTTTATTAAAAAGCTAAGTTGATTTCTCCTCTTTTGGCATTCTGGCATATCTTCTGTTCTTGGATTAAATTACTAATCTAGTACAAAGGCACCATATGTTATTTATTGCACCTGAAACATCATGGATATTTGCATGATTGTCAATGTTAATGGTGTCATACAACTCATCTAATAGTTCACCATGTAATTGTTTCCTCTGTAACCAAATGAGATGATTTTCACAATATTTCGTAGATTCCTTCTAGAAAAGAAACGGATTCTTCTAGATGAGATTCACGACTTAAAAATACAAGCAGATTTCCCCAAATCATGTGTGCGATATAAATAGACTAAGAATTTTTACATTCTATCATTTAAGTCTAATATTTCCTTCTTCCCTCCTTCCCCTTGATTTAAATGTAGAATCTGGAGAATTCTCCACATGGATGCAATCTATTTGAATTATTTAGAATCAAATAACTTTATTGACAACCTTATAGCAATCAATTTTATAAGTAATTATGAAGATAATGTTCTGATCACAGAAAACAAATTCATAAGCCCTTAGAGAAAATAGATGACTTTGGTGAACAAATCCCAATGTGTTTATTATGTCTATTGTATTCAGATTTCTTTCCTCCACCTCCCTTTTTCCAGCAATGAATATCTTGAGGAAGAGACAATCTATTTACCTTTTCATTCCCAAATGATACCAATGATAATTGCCTAGACTACAGAAAGAAAAGTCTTATAGTATATTACATTTCTTATAATTAAAAAATTGTTAATGCTATAACATCTTTAAATCTGTTTTCATAAAAATTGTTTTTACCAAAATAGTACTTAATTACATTCTAACCTCCGTGTCTTTTTATAAGATTCCTTTAAAGTAATATTTAAAATACCAAAAGTACCTTTTGCAACATGGTGGTCATTTGAAATACCAATTCTTCATGTCTCTTTTCATTACTTACCTAAAAGGATAAAAAAGAGAAAATATTAGAAGTTTGAAATCATTTCAATTTATCATTAAGAACAGTTTCCATATTTCAAATCAAAATAAGCTTATAGGAGGCACTGATGGAGTTCTTCATTTTAAAAAGCCACTATTATAAATGCAAAAGAGCAAAGCAAAAATATTTGAACATTTCAAGAGTTCAGTAAAGTAGCCAAAACAGAATGTGATAAAAGATGAAAAATAGCCTATTAATCTGTAAGAGAAATAGATTTTTAAAAATATGAGAATGTCCATTCAATCATAAGTAGATTCATAAGAATCTTGAGAGATTATGTTTACTTTCAGAGTCTGTCTAAATGCATGAAAAAGCATTGGCTGAAATTGCTGACCAAAGAGTATTAAATTGGATAAGCATTCCCTACCTAACAGTCAATGACAAAAACTAAGAAATGACAGATGCGTGTGGCCTACCCCTTCTTCTTCCTTTTATAACTGCCATTTGTTAAACATCTACAATATGTCAGAAGCTACACTAGCCATCTCATATATCGTATCTATTTATCCTTCATGACACATGGTAAAATAGGAATTACTAAGTCTCCTTTACAGGTAAGAAAAACTAAACATCATAAAGTTTACGTGACCTGACCAGCATTGTAAATGCCAGAGCCAGGATACATGCATCACAGAAGTCTTCTTTTTTTATTATATTTTGCTGCTTCCTTTCAAAAGATTTGATTTATTTACATGTTACACAATATCAAGAGATTGGACAAGTTTTTAATGCCAAAATCTTGTTATATTACATCAGGTTATGCTAACTGCTCACATTATTGAATCACAATATATCAGACTTTCATGAGATTTGATTTCACCTCTGGTATCATTAAGCCACTAATATATGGCCATGCTTCTACTTTATTTTCTCTTATTTTTCAAAGCATATTGGAACTTTAACAGCCATTCACTGACATTCAAGCCCATAAATGGTTATGAAAACATGAAAGACTCAAATACTAAGTGTTAGAAATGATGCAATGGCTTAGGATCCCTGGACCAATTATAGCAGAATCACTAAGGGTGCTTTTTCAGAAATCTCAGTGTTGAGTCCCATCTCAGTATAATTTTTAAAGACTACACTTTCTACAAACTCTCCAAGATGATCCCTCTGCATATTAAAGCATAGGAAAATATGGCAAGAATCACTGCCTTATACCAGTGGTTCCTAGACCAGAAGAATGAGCATCACCTGGAAACTCGTCAGAGACGCAAATTATTGGGCTCCCCTCCACCTTCCAATGAGAAACTGGAAGTGGGGCCCAATACTATATGTTTTAACAAGGCTTCCAGATAATTTTGGTGCAGCTGGAAGTTTGAGGACCATAGCCCAGTGTGAAACAATTCCTGGATTTTCTTGTCCAGAGGGTTTTCACTCTCTCTCTTGTGAACCATTAATATTTAGAGCTATTATGGATGGAGTCAAGGAAGTGTCATTCTTCAGTTTCCAGGAGGCTCTCTGAACTCCCGGGAATAGCCCTCTGGCACACACCCTGTTCAATGCCCACAGTCCTCTTTCTTCCCCTTATCTTACTTGATCTACTCTTTGTCTAGATTAAAAGATTATAATTTCAACAGATGTGGTGTCCACATTCACATAAACCTTAATAGGAGCTATTAAAATTATAAACACATATTCAGACACTGAAATCACAACCCTGTTTTTAAATTCCCTTGGAACTGTGTATGTAATGACAGTTATCAGATAGCTACCATAATACTTCTTTGAAAAAAATCTTCCCATAGTTCACTTCGCATGTGGTGAACAATCCTCTCTGTGTCTTAGTACAAATTCAGAAAGGACAACATTTAAGCATTCATAAGAACTTTCTACGAAAAAGACTAATCAAATTGAAATAAGAAGAACATAGCCTCCAGGTGTCAAAAGAATAAAAGAGGTTCACAAAAACCTGGCCCAATTAAAGTCCAAGGCATACAGACAATAGCATCACAGAATATTAATTGTGGACCAAGTTGCTTTCCAGCTCTTATATTAGTGAATGCGCCAACAGGAACCTGATTCAACATCTCACACAACAATGTGGAACATAGGAAAATCAATGTTGTGCACAGCATGCTGAGCAAAGTGTTCCATCTGACATTTAGAACTGGTTGCACTCAGCTACTTTTAATTTTAGTCCCAATTTCAAGAGACTGCCAAAGACACAAAGCTACTGCTTCAAGTCCTTGCTTCCAGCTCCCATTGGGATGATCTGTAGAGCCTTTGAATACTCAGCTCCACTGACAGAACACACATTATTTCCTTTTGAAACTGAAAAACCAGTTCCTGGGCTTTTGCATACATGTTTATTCTTCTCCAGGAAACTCAAGAGCAATTTAAGTGCTCTCCTCTTCACTGTGAGTCTGTAACTCTCCTCTCTTAATGATGCAGTGTCTTGTGCTTAGCTCAGTTTAAAATGCACTTTCCTGGCTGCCTTCAGATTCACAATTCAATTTAATTTGATTCTCCTGGCCCCTGGCTGTTGAATAACTTTCCATGGTGAAATATATTACATCTCTTTTTCTTCTTCTTCCTTTTTTTTTTTTTTGAGACAGAGTCTCACTCTGTCGCCCAGGCTGGAGTGCAGTGGCATGATCTTGGCTCACTGCAACCTCTGCCTCCTGGGTTTAAGCGATTCTCCTGCCTCAGCCTCCTTCCTGAGTAGCTGGGATTACAGGCACGTGCCACCGTGCCCGGCTAATTTTTGTATTTTTAGTAGAGACGGGGTTTCACCATGTTGGTCAGGCTGGTCTCGAACTCCTGACCTCATGGTCCGCCTGCCTCAGCCTCCCAAAATGCTGGGATTACAGGCAGAGCCACCATGGCTGGGCTTTTTCTTCTTTTAAGGCAGGGATTTTGTTTTGAGGTTGCAAAGAAACAACACTGAAAACCATTTGTAACAAAAAATTAACTAGACAGATACTTTCAGCATCAGCTTATCAGCATCTCTTTCCTCCCTAAACTTTATTTAAAAACTTCCTATAAAGATGAAGACTCACTAATTTTAACCTAGTATTTTTTTCTCCTAACTTTAACAAGCACTAAAATACTAAATAATAGATACAGTTGCTTTCCCTCACATTCTGGCCATTTTCTGGAACGTATGCTTGCATTTATACCTTATAGTTATCCAATCACAACTACTAAAAACCCATATCTGAATAATTGGATGAATAGTTAGATGGCTGTTGAAATCCCAGGGGCTAAAAGTGGTCACTCTAATACCCCAAAAAAATGACTCCCTACAAAAAGGTATGAAGTGCTAACAGTGTATAAGGCATTATATAGGTGCCTTCCAATGTAGTTGGAGATGACATAATTAAACCAAAAAAGTTAATAATAAAAACTTATAACTTATAGTGTGTTCCCAAGTACCAAAAATTATATTGACTACATACATTATCTCAACTGGTATTCAAAACAACCTCATGAAAACCCTCCTATTATCCACATTCTGTAGACAAGGAAAGTGAGGCTCTTGTCCAACACCATATTGCTCAATGGCAGGAATGAAAACCAAATCTAGGTTTTCCTGCTTCATAAAGCCTTGGTCTTACACATAGTTGCTTTTATAAATCAAGGCAATGTAAACTAAATGGCATATTGCTGGGTCAGGCATTAAAGGGCTTGGTGGAGGGTAATCTTCACAGAGGTGATGAAACTTAAGCTGAGTTTTGACATAATTAAGAGGACAGAATAGAAATGGAAATTGGGGGGAAGGAGAAAGATGGAAAGAGGGAGACTTGAAGGAAAGTGTTAAGTTGGGTTAATATTGGCTTAAGCAAATATACAAAGCAGGATTTCTCAAGGTAAGTTCAAATAGTGAACATTGTACCCAATAGATAAATTTTAACCTATCTCCCTTTTTCCCTTTCCCCGGCTTTTGAAGTCCCCCGTGTCTATCAAGAAATACATTCTTTATGCAGATCATCACTTACCATCTTTGACATAAATCACACTCCCCTATATGTGAAGGTTAAATAATGCTTCACCATAACCGAAAGCAATGTACAGACCATGTTCGGATCCTGATCTGAACAAACCAATTGAGAAAAAAAGGCAGGTTTGAGATAGGAGACAATCAGGGAGATAAGGATATTAGATATTTGATATTAAACTATCTTAAAGAGGGGTAATAATGGCATGGTGGATATGGTTTTTTTAAATGTCTTACTAGTTAGAGCATAATAAAACATTCACAGGTAAAATGACATAATGTCTGGTGTTCACTTTAAAATGCTCCAGAAAAATGAAACCAAAAAAATGTGGGGTGGAAGACAGATGGAACAAAATTAGTAAAATGATGACGATTTTTGAAGCTAAGTGGATACATGAGACACCTTATATTATTCTCCTTACTTTGGTCCATATTTGAAAATTTCCACAGAAGACTTTTTTAAGAGCCTCATGAAATGTGGCCAGTAATACAAAAACAACACCAAAATTTTGGTCTATATGGAGAGATGACCTCCCAAAATAGCTATATCATTCATTCATTCATTCATTCAGCCTGTGGTTTTTGAGTCTACAGTGTGCAGGGGGTTGTTCAAAGGTGAATGAGACACTGTTCCTGCACTCACAGATCTTATAATCATATAGGGGATGCAGGATGGAAAACTAATGACAGCAATCCAGAGTCATCATGGTGTGCAGATATGGACAAAGGATTTGATTAAGTTTAATATTTGAAAATTTGCTCTGGCTACAGGGATGGATTGATGAAAAGCAGAGAAAATGAAGATGGGAACTAAGACACTACCACTAAAACTGAAGATGTGATGGATATTAGAAATGCAGAAGAAGTAATATAATTCTCATACTACTTATAACTTATTTCTACTATTCATAAAATAGTTCATTCTGTTAGGTGCCTACGTTGTACCCAATCCTACAGAGAAAATCTAGTTTAGAATCCTCTCATCAATGCTAATGGCTAAGAAAATTGGGTTTTTATGGGGCCAGAGGGAGAAAAAAGAAGAAATTGTATATGCATGTTCATCTTAGTAATAATGTAAATAACAACTAACAAAATGAGAAAATTATAAATAGTTTAAAATTATTTTGGATGTCACTAAGAAAATATGTAAATACACAAATTTAAGCAATCAGTTTAATTGAAAGGGAACTCCTTTTTTCTTAACTCCAATATGTGGTATTTGGAATCCTAATTACTAATGTCACATCTGTATTCTGTTAAAGAAGTTACTTTCCTAACTTTCATTATTATTAAAATATGCATAAAGATATTCAAGTCTTTGTACTATTGCTTTCACTCATTGTTAAATAAAAACAATGAGACTACACCCACAGGAAAGGCTTCACAGCCCCCATCAACTTGGTTAGAGTTGAGCTAGAAAGCAGCACACAAGGCTTAGGTAATGCCTTTCCCTTCCCTAAGTGAGGTGTTAGAAATGCTGGAAATACCCTCCTCGGTGGTCATTTCTTTCACTGCCTCTCAGCCAGAATGAAATATCTGAACTGACAGTCGTGGATCAGTGTCTGTAGGGCAGCAATTTCTTCATGGAGCTGACACATCCCAGAGAAAAATACCATCCTCTGCTTCCTCCCCTTTTATCTCCTGCTGTGTCAACTACAAAAAAATTCTTTCTCTTGGAAAAAGGTCTGAGTAAGCCATGAGCTTAGTTATTTACGTCTATGTTCATTAGACAGGAGAAAGAAGAAAATGAACTCTTTCATTTGTTTTTATTATTTTCAAGGTCTTTTCTCAAGTTAATTTTAAATTAATTTCCAAATATGGAATCTAGAATTTTTATTTGAAGGAATAGTCAACACTGGTTTAAAAATGGTTGGCTTCAGTGGAGAAATCATATAAACACTGTCAGCCAAGTGACCAGAGTTCACATCAACAGCACTGTCATGTTCACAGTGCTACTCTTGATATAACGTGATGAAAATGGCACTTTATTCTGTGATCAAAACATGTAATCCAGTCTAATTATGAGAAAATCATCAGACACATTTCAATAAAGGGATATCCCACAATATACTTAACCAGTACTCCTCAAAATTGTCAAGAGCATAAAAAACAAAGAAAGCCCATGAAGCTGTTACAGCCAAGAGGAGACTAATAAGACACGACTATATAAATTTGGTATCCTAGAAGAGAAAAGGGGCATTTGGTTAAAAACTTTAAAAATCTCAATAAACTATGGACTTTAGTTAATAATAACACGATAACTTTATTTAATAATAATTTATTATTAATTGCAATAAATATGCCATGCTAATATAAAATGTTAATAATAGAAGAAATTAAGGGGAGAGGATAATCCCAGAACTCTGTACTATTTGCTCAATTTTTCTATAAACGTACAATGTTCTAAAAAATAAAGTCTATTGATAAAGATGGTTGGCTTCTCCTTTGATAAAATGTCAAAATATTTTCTCACCTGTTTGATCTATAGTTTATGTTCTATAAATTAATATTGATTTGATAGTAAACCTGGTTTTTTTGAGATATTTGAGAAGAATATGCATATTTTCTTCACTACCACAAAATAGATCTCCCAGCCTCAAAAAGGAAATATACAGGAAACTAGTTCTTATTATTCTTGGAAATAATGGGAATAAAAAGCTCTTCCAGAGACAAGAGTGCTGACACCTTCTGGAGAGGCATTCTGCCGCTGCTAGCTGAAACGGTGAGCAAGGGGAATTGCAATGCCTTGGTATTACAGGTCCCAAACAGATGTTCAAGCCACTCACCAAGCAGATGCACAGCATGGAGAGCTGAGCATCCATCTGGCCTCCCCCATAAAAAGACAAAACATCATCAGTGCCATGGATATTTTTAGGGCTAGAAAGATCCTTAAAAGATTATCTGTTTTAATCCCTTCATTTTCACAGATGAGGAAATTTTAATGGCCAACTAATTTCTGATCGGCAATCCTCTTACCACTCTTATGAAATGTAAAAAATAAAGAGGCTGATCCTGAGAGGTTAAAGAAAATCAGTTGCTTTTCTTTATAACCATGTATGCAAATAACTTTTGCTTGAGACAGATGATGTTTTCCATTTGAACTCCTATTGTGGAGAAGGGGAAAATGAAAAAAGTAACAAGGATGAAGACATGAACAAAAGGCATTGAACAAAGAAAGGGAATATTGGCAGACTGGGTCAAAGAACCCCAGGCTCCCAGGAAAACCCAGGAGAGAGAAACAACTTCTGTCATGGGGGACCAGAAGCTATAGCTATGCAAGGTGTTTGAAGAGAGCCATGGTTTTAGTTTTGCCTGAATGAAAATTTAAAGAATTGGCCACTTCCTCAGTGAACAGTTATCAGAGAAGCTCAGAGAAAGAGCTTCTCTAACCTCGGCTGTAAGAGAAATATGACTTGTCAGATCACCAGCTGGAAAAGAAGCAGAGGGGAGAGTGCGCCGGACAAGGAAAATGGAAGAAAAGAATTCATGATTGAGGAGTTATCGTCCCCTTTCATACAGAGGCTTCACTTTATTGGCGTATCTGTATGTAGTTCATATGTTGAGCATCCTCACGCTGGAGCTAAGTGGTTTGGTCTTTAAAGAACAGCTTCACTATGAGGGTGGTGGCTCACTGGAAGGAGCAGGTAAGTAAGTGACTGTGGCCGTGGTTCCAAGGCTGAATAAAGGGAGAAGCCCTGAAGTTCTCAGGTTGGTGACAGCAGAAATGACAGCTAAAAAAACAGGCAGTTTGAGCCTGGCATTTACAGTGTTTATCCAAACCAGCCACATAGCAGCAGTAAAAACTTGACCAAAAGCTCTTTAACCTCGTTCCTTAGCATCTGAGGTCAGGAATGCGACATCAAAGGTGTCTTTCTTTACTTGAGAAAAGCATTACCAGCACTCACACATTTATCTGTCTTTTCTACAAGGAAAAGGAAATCTCAATAAGCTGAGAAGTTTTATGCTGCATTCCTCAATCCTTTTTTTCTCCCTTCTCTTTTTGTTCTGGTAAAAATGGTTTCTATTTTGTTTCCAGTGCACAGATTTTACCTCTCAGAATTGTTACTTGCTTAAATAAAGCAAAGGGCTTAACAACAGACTGAAGGTAGGAGTAATTCATGTTTACACTTGAGAATTTGCCCCTGATGAATGAACGACTATGCTCTAAACAGAACCTATAGCCCATAGTCTATATCACACATGGCAAAAGAAACAGCTTTTGAAGACATATGCTGTAGCTCCTTCCTCCTATGGCTGGAAAACAAAGTACAAACAGCTAAGCTCTCTCTAAATAACCAATGGACATAAATTAAGTCAGAGCTTTGCTCCAAGTCCAGCAATCCTGCTGACCCTTCCAAGTCTTCTAAAGTGAGCTCCTTTTTCTCTGTCAGAGACTTTGGGTGTAATGGCCTGGAACTGAAGCAGTAGGGTGGCGGGTGGTGAGAGAATGAGAACAAATGCTTTCATTATGCAGCATGCTGAGGCAAAATGAGTTTGACTCACAAATGCAACACAATTGGGGCAATGTAGAGGCCACAATGCAGCAACGCTGAATCACAGACAGTTTGAATGCTCTCGCTTTGACACATACTCTCAGAGTTGACCAGTTTTCTGACATTACTGTCAACCAAGAACACTATTTTTGAGCTGCTTTTGTTCTGATTTTGATTTTGGAATTTATAAATACTCAGGAAAATAAACTCTGTGGTTTGAGGACAGATTTTGTGGGATGTTAGGCAGACTTTCAATGTAACCAAACTATGTAATGAAGTTGCTTATGAATTAAAAGTGTTCCTTTGGCTTCTTGGCATGATTGTATCACTCATCTGAAAAAAAGACAGAAGTGCCAGCATCTGCAAGCTCTGGGGCTATCTGAGCATAATAGCAAAATTGTGGCCTCAGTGGAGCATTAAAAAAAATCTATTTAACTCCCCAGAGAACAGATAATGATAAATTTCTGCCACTCTGAGGAGAAATCCATGGCGTTCAGCACCTAAAAGATTGTAAAATTGGTGGGGAAAATAATCCTGATGGTCACTAATGAATGAAAATTCCTTTTGCAAATCCTGCTCTGAATGATTATTTTTTCTTTTAAATTGGAAATAGGCTTGCCTACCCAAGTCTATGAAAGGGACGATTAAAAGGCTTTATGGTGAGTGTATCAAGTTCTCCCTAAGTACTATATTGATGTCATCCACTGTGGTATTAGGCTAATATGTCTGGTTTTTTGGTGCCATCTGTAGTTTTCAGACAAATGGAATATGAGAGCAACAACTCTAAGTGGTTCAATGCTTACCACAACAAAAATTTCCATTAAGAATTTTCCATTAGGAAAATATGTTTAAGACTATTTAGGATAACTAAGTTACCCTTAGGCCATTTACCAGCACATTGGTGCTTCATCTCTAAGCATCTCCATCAGGAGAGGCTTTACAAAACTTCTGCACAAAATGTGTCTAATGCACCAGCATCCTGATGTCACCAGTTCATTAACCCTGTCAGGCATTTGGCAAATTACTGGGAATTTTACCACTTATTAGTTATAGTCAAAGACTGTGGGGGAAAAAAAGAAATACTGTACATCAAATCTGGCTTTCAGATCTTGCAACCCTGTCATATCTATGAGCTCTGCTGTTCTAAAGCATGTTTCATTGATGTGACTCAAAGAAATCATAGCTAAAATATAACAAACTTCCCTCTTGTTTCTGCTCCTATAAAATCAAGCTGAAATAGCCAGGGGATGGTGGAAAAAGTGGAGCAGTGAGTTCTAGGAGTGACAATACAAATAACACCATGCTCCCAATAAAAAATGACATGGATTCATGGATCTTCGAGTATTTGCATTTTACCGTGTTTTCTAGACCCAGCTTTTAGGAAATTGTGGAACATTCTACAGCACACCCAGATAAATGTTTAGTTCCTCATAATAATGTGTTACTAAATCTACAACCTTCCATTATCGTCAACTCTTACATAGAACAGCAACATAATCAGCATTCATTTGTACTTTCATAATTTGAAGTTTGAAAGTTTTCAAATTATAAAAATAATATATATGTATGTATACTACATATCCGTATGTAACACCAAATACAAAAATTTTATGTCAATCAATAATTTTAATCTCCTTAAAAAGAAAAAACTAGAGATTCCTTCTATTTATATAAATGAATGGAGCTCTCCTTCTCCACTAGACTGAATTTCTCAAGGACAGGAAGCCAGGCTTGTATTCACTTCCATATCACAGGGCCTATTACATGCCTAGCCCATAGTAAGTGCTCAAGAAATGAGAGAATTTGATTTTTTTTTTTAAAAGAAGCCAACTAGGGCATTTTGAAATGGGACATCACAGAGTTTAAAGATGAAGAATTGATGTGGTACTGTGGAAACTGCACAAGGGCAAGGGTCAGCAAGCTTGTGTTTGCAGCTTCATTTTCCCGTTTCCTGTCTGTATGACCTTTTGTTTTGTTTTGTTTTTTGAAACGGAGTGTTGCTCCGTTGCCCAGGCTGGAGTGCAGTGGCACCATCTTGGCTCACTGTATCCTCCGTCTCCTGGGTTCAAGCAATTCTCGTGCCTCAGCCTCCCCAGTAGCTGGGACTACAGGTGCATGCCGCCATGCTGGGCAAACTTTTTTGTGTTTTTAGTAGAGACAGAGTTTTGCCTTGTTGGCCAGGTTGGTCTCAAACTCCTGACCTTAAGTGATCTGCCCGCCTCAGCTCCCAAAGAGCTGGGATTACAGGTGTGAGCCACTGCACCTGGCCTGCATGACCTTGAGTAAGTAACTATATCTCTGTGGAGGTTTCCCCCATCTCTAAAAAGGGGAGAAGAATCTTGCAAGACCATTATGGAATAGAGAATGTATACAACATGCAGAGGTTGATAAATGGTCATTATTATGACAGTGTGTCCTGAAGTTGTTTATATTAGGTTGGTGCAAAAATAGTCGCAGTTTTGCCATTAAAAGTAATGTCAAAAACCACAATTATATTAGCAAATTAAGATTTAAGGTGCTAGCTGGGTGTGGTGGCTCACACCTGTAATTCCAGCACTTTGAGAGGCTGCGGTAGGAGGATTGCTTGAGCTCAGGAGGTTGAGACCAGCCTAGGAAACATAGGGAAACCTCATCTTTAGGAAAAAATATTTTTTTAAAAAATTAACCAGGTGTGGTGGCATGCACCTGTGGTCCCAGCCTACTTGGGATGCTGAGGTGAGAGGATCTCTTGGGTTTGGGAAGTTGGGAATAATAATAATATTCACACTTATAGGTATAATGCACTTTCCCAAATACTTTATATGCTTTATCATATTAATCTAGTCAATAACCACATAAAGTAGTGTTATCTTCGTTTTGCATCTGAGAAAATTGAAGTTAACATTTCCAGGATTGTTTATAAGATTGGAGCTAGAATATCAGAATGAGTTCTTAAGAGAACATAAAAGCAACTTTAGAAACCTATTTATCTGAAATATAGTTGAAATAACCATTTGGGGGATATAAAAGACTTATAAAAATATATTTTTAGAATGTGCAAATGAATGAAGATTTACCCACTACGCATCCTAAAGGCCATCCTAAAAGCAACAGCTTAAGAAGCAAAATACTTGGAGTTCGATTGGTTTTGCAGACATCAAACTAATATCCCATATCCTATGATCTCAGAATTCAAAAAGGATAAACTAATAACAAGAACAAAAAGAACAATTATGCCTTAAAGTTTCACTTCAATACCCTTAGCATGCATATCAGTCTCACTGATTCTGAATCTTTACAACTCTGACCATGTGAATATGAAACACGCTATTTTCTAATAGCAGTACATCCAAGGTCTAGAGCTGGTAAACAGGACAATGTCAGCATTCATAGCAAGTCCATATCTTTGTAAAGTACTTTATATTCATAAAGAGCTTTCAAACACTTTACTTCAAAATTCTTCAAAATTTGAGTTGGGTAATTGTTACGATCCTTAATAATTATAGAAGCTATCATTTGTTGAGTTTCTATAATAAGCAGGATGTTATATACATGCATACACACACATGCAGACACTTACTTCATTCTAATCCTCACAACAGCCCTATAAGGTAGATGTATGTATAATTTACCAATGAAATAGCTGGGGCTGCTTGCCCAGGGGACTTACCCAAGCTTAATAAAGTTAGTCTAATTCCAAGGGCAAATGTTCCTGGCATGACAGGGCTATTTCCCCTTTTCTAGCACATAACACCAATAAAATTTTTGTGTAGATAGCATTTGTGTAATGGCCTCTTCCATTTCCATCCCTTCCTTCCCCCTGGAATCCAGAACTGTTTCACTGGCCCAGAGCCACCTAGAACTCCCATATCCCATCTGAATCAGCCCTCCCAGGATCATCAGGTGCTAAATATTTCTCCTACCCCAATTCCCACCCACCCACTGCTATCATCAAAACTTACCTAGCCCACCACTATACTTTTATGTCTTTTTTGAAATACAAATTATCCTTGTAACCATGGATGCTAGCACATTTTATTCCTCTGGGATAACTTATTCATTCATTCCTTTAGTAAATATTTATTGAGAACTTATTAGGTAACGCTTTCAGAAAACTATGCTTTAATTCTAAGGACTGACTATAGAAATGAAGCTGTATTTATCTTCAGGCAAGTCTTTTGATACCACTCAAAGCATAATGACAGAAATCACTCTTTCTCCATGCGTAATAATAGACAATACTTATCAAGGGTTTCCTCTTTCCTAATGCTATGCATGTATAACCTCATTTAAAATACAATTAAATGGTATTAATAATATTATTTTTATTTTATATACAGGGAAACTGAGGCATAGTGGTGAGGCAGTTTGACAAATATAAGATGGCTAGTAAATAGTAGAATCAGGATTTGAACTTAGCTCTGCCTCCAGAGCTGCTACTTCTAACTACTAAGCCATATTACCTCTAGCTTTTTAAATAATGAGGGCATTTATAGATTCTAGTTTGCCTTGGATAATTTTGATATAAGCTTGCTTTCTCCGTGCATAATTAATAGCACTCCTTTTAACTCTCAAAAGTATCCTGTTTTGAAAAATAAATTATATTGTCACCCTGTCTCCAATAAAAAAAATAATTGATAACTTGACATGGCTGGAATAGAAAATAGCACAAGATTATTAATTTTGTAGATTTTATTGTAAGCAGATAAACAAATTCTATCATGCATTCACTGGGACACAAAGGAAGCATGGGAAGGAAGAACAAAAAAGGAAGATGAGGAGTCATGAATCTTGATTTAAGTACAGGATCTGCTACTGCTAGTTACGTGGCACGAGGCAAGTCACAAAACCTCTGAGTCTCAATCTCATCTATTAAATAGAGTTTAAAACACCAAATCCAGTGTTGTGGTGAAAAGTAAATGACATTACACAGGAAAATACCTGGAACAGTAACTTTACACCTGGAACATAAAAAACTGTCAAAAAGATAGATGATTAGTTATTCTTTGGAACACAGTTTCCCTTGGCCTGCACACTACATCATTTTTCTACTGTAAATGAAAAGGAGTTCTTAGAAGGATTAAAAAGTCTTTGGATAGCACCTAACATTGCAGAGCCAATAGAAATGTGTATCACAGGCCGGGCGTAGTGGCTCACGCCTGTAATCCCAGCATTTTGGGAGGCTGAGGCAGGCAGATCACCTGAGGTCAGGAGTTCGAGACCAGCCTGACCAACATGGAAAAACCCTGTCTCTACTAAAAATACAAAATTAGCCTGGCATGGTGGCACATGCCTGTAATCCCAGCTACTAGGGAGGCTGAGGCAGGAGAATAGCTTGAACCTGGGAGGCGGAGGTTGCGGTGAGCTGAGATCATGCCATTGCACTCCAGCCTGGGCAATAAGAGCGAAACTCCGTCTCAAAAAAAAAAAAAAAAAAAAAAAAAAAACCACAGAAATGTATATCATAAATTCCTGCTACAAACTTTATTCTTCAGAGTTATTGCATTGGGAATTATGTAGGAAAACAAATCCATTTCAGAATGCATTCTTTGAAGGACATGTAATATTCTACAGCCCAAATATCTGATCGTTGTAGGTGGCCTAACATGTAGGTTCAAGTAGCAGAACCACACCATGCTCTTGAATACTATTTAATTTTATTCTAGAATCTGGTACTTCAAAGACTGAGGAGCCAAGTTTCAAGGCTCATCTTGAGGGAACAGGAAAGGAAATCTCAGAGCAGCAAAGTACATAAAGAAAGCTCTTTCTCTTTCTCTTTCTCCCACTGTGAAAGAACAAAAATATTTGGCAAGAAATGTTATGTTCGTACCTCCTCACAGTGTTTTTAAAGGAAGAAAAAGAGGTGAAAGAGAATGGAGGGGTCTGAATGTTATAAGCCCCAACATTATTAGTTTCACATTCCCTAAGCCTGTTTAATTGTTTACTTCATCTTTTGTTTAAGTAGTCTCTCCTCATAGCATGTCTTTGCTAGACATTAATGAGGCAAAATGCTGAAGAATGATGTATTTTTTACTTACAAGCTATAAAAAGAAGAAATAAATTTACAACTGCACTCAACAAAGAAAACATCACGGTCCCACAGACCTCTGCAACCCTGAGTCCTTGAATTTAGATTCATCCAGCACTGGCTAACATTATGTGGTAATTGTGTTTCCTCAAACTCAAATAATTCATGCCAATTACATAACTCACGCAACTCCCTATGGATTTAGCAATTCTCGAACAGCTGGGATGTGAAGTAAAGACCATAAACTCAGTTCTTTTCAAGGAGAAATTACAACACAAACCTATTGGATCATGACATGCTTTACTAATAAAGAAAGTATCATGTTTTACTTTCATTTCTCACATTAATTTGTAAAGTAGAAATAATTCACATTTTTTAAGAAAATAATTAGGAACCCAGTCAAAAAAAAAAGAACAAGGAAAAAAATAGAAAAATCTAAATTTTTAAAAAAGCATCAAAAAAAGTGAGTCATCTAAAATAAAGTGGAGAAAATGTTTATTCTTGTCTATGGAGTATACCTCTCTGCAGAATTAATGAGCTAGCTTGTAGTCAGAAGGATGAGCATAGGCCATGTAGAGCATACATCCATAAGTGTATATAATAGTCTATAGTATTCTGCCCATTGCAGAAACAACATCATGCATCACTCACCCCAAAGAGAAAAAAGGGCAATATCTCCCATAAAAGAAAAGATGAATGGTAAGCACACCAAGAGAATTTAAGGTTTTGTTTTTTTTTTTTTGAATGAGTGACCCCAACAGCTATAGCACTCATAAAATTCAAGTACTGTAAGTGGTATTGTTTCTACTAAACAAGCTTAACAAACTAGAGGAGAAATGTTTAAGAAAATCTTAAATAAATTGAGATTTTTAAGGAGAAATGTGTCATTTATAGAGAAACTAGAAATTATAATTCACAGTTTTGTAATTGCATTTGATATTAGTTGATAAGTGTATACAGTCTAAGGCAACCAATATAATATGGGGTTTGTGCTATGATTTCTTTTTTCTATCACTATTAACAAGCCTTGCAGAAAACCCACCAGAGTTAACAAGGTTCTGTGTACTCGGGTCAGCATTCTGAATCATCCTCTTCTTTGTTTGGCTGTCCTGACATGATACATGTTGGTACCACAACAAGGACAGCTGACAACTGCTTTCCCTGTTTGAAAAGACTTCGCCATTCAACTTGGACCAAAAACATTTGTCATGTTGTAGGCAGTGGATTAACTATAATCAGACCAAGCTAGTGGTAGTGCCAGTGCCAGATTGAAATAATCTGGTGAAACAAAGGCTGGATTTGTCATTTTGAGCATTGCTAGGTTGTTTCTTTTGGGGTAGACAGGGGGAGAGTGGAAGGTTATAAAACGGACATGACTCTCTCTATGTAGAGTCAAAAGAAAATATCAAAATTAAAAATTTTCAAAAAAAAAAATTCAGAGCTGTTTCAAGCTCTTTACCATGTTAAAACTTGCCAGAAGTAGAGATGTTTTCATATTGATTATATCTTAATATGCAAACCCTTGTTATTTTCAGAATACAAAAAATATCTTCCTCATATATTTTTGTTTTTAAAAGGTTGTAGTAGTTATACAAAATATGAGCGTGTTCTGACTTTGTGAACAGCTCACTTTAACTTTCTAGAAGTCATTTTTCATAGGGTATAGTGATTAGATAATCTCTAACTTTGAAATATGATGACATTAAACATTCTATTAACCATTTCCACTTTCTATATAGCTAGACAAGCCTCCACAAACTGACTTTTTTTAACTTATGAATTGTTGTCAAAGAAAGCTTATAAATACTGTCAATATGATATATATAAATAGCAATAAAATGAACAGCTAAAACCATCTTTAAAAAATTAACAAGTAAAGGAAAACACTACCTATCTAGCTTTTGTTAAAATATAATTAATAGGCCTTATAGTACAGCTATGATATCTGAGAAAAATTATTTTAAAACTCTGCAGGCTTTTCTTGAAACACTCAAAATGGCTTAAAATAAATTATCATGAAATGGTAAAATATTTATCAAAACTTGGCCAAATACCAGTCAATGTAAGACATTTAATAAGTACTTATTAAGTATTTACTATGTGTCAAGAATGGAAAATACTGGGGATATTAAACCATGTCTCTGGCCTCATGGACCTTACAGTCTAGTGAAGATAGACACAAATAAATTTATATTTAATATTCTGGAATAAAAACAATAACCAACTGCTTTTTTTTTTATTTGTACAACAGGAAAGAAGACCAATCTCTTTAGTCTGCTAATTCATGGAAACCTCTATGAAAACTCATAATTTAAACTAACATTAAGATGGATTTTTCACTCATACCTATCTGCACATGAGTAAATACAAAAATTGAAGAGTGTATATGGTTTTAAAACAACAGGGAAATATGAAACACATATCTTTTATTCATATATTCAAAAATAATTATTGAGTGCTTACTACAGATGCTCCTCAAGTTACAATGAAACTATGTGCTGATAAACACATCATAAACTGAAAGTACCATAAGTCAAAAATGCACTTAATACACCTAACCTACCAAACAGCGTAGCTTAGCCTTGCCAATCTCAAACGTGCTCAGAACTCAGAACACTTACATTAGCCTACAGTTGGGGAAACATCAAAATTTAAAATTTGAAGTAGTTTTCTACTGAATCCGTCTAGCTTTCACATCATTGTAAAGTTGAAAAATTGTAAGTCAAAGCATTGTAAGTTGGGGACCATCTGTACATGACTTTGGTGGCTAAATACATCAGTAACTAAAAAGATGAGAAAATACAAATCCTTGGCCTCAGCCAAGGAAAGAAAATAAGTACGCAGATGACTATAATATAATTAGGTATCACAGGAGAGACATAAACCAGTGAGAAGTCAAAAGAGAAATAAATTATTTCATATTGGAGGAATTCAGGGAAGCCTCTTGAAAAAAACCTACCATTTGAATAAGATCTTGACGAATGTGTTAAATATTAGCAAAAAATTGGGAGAACGCATTACAGGTTTCTGTGGGATGGCAACATCTAGGTCATCTCAGTTTCTGTTTCTATTGACTGCATTTTTTTGTGATTGTAGGTCTCATTCCACTTCTTCACATGATTAGTAATTTTTTTTATCATATGGTGAACATGGTAGAGATTCTGGACTATGTGGTCTTCCTTTAAAGTGTGTTGAGCTTTTTTTCTGGAAGGCAGTTAAATTATTGGTAGATCAC
Organism: Homo sapiens; assembly: GCF_000001405.40. Classification (NCBI taxonomy): domain Eukaryota; kingdom Metazoa; phylum Chordata; class Mammalia; order Primates; family Hominidae; genus Homo; species Homo sapiens. The sequence continues at coordinate 112,886,740 of NC_000004.12, read as the reverse complement.
TTTGGCTCCATCCGGATCAATTTTACATTCTTTTTTAGGGAAAGTCTATTTGTTTTTTGTCTGTTTGTTTGTTTGTTTTGAGACAGAGTCTCGCTCTGTCGCCCAAGCTGGAGTGCAGTGGCGCTATCTTGGCTCACTGCAACTTCCACTTCCCAGGTTCAAGCGATTCTCCTGCCTCAGCTTCCTGAGTAGCTGGAATTACAGGCGCGCGCCACCACACCGAGCTGATTTTTGTATTTTTAATAGAGACGAGTTTCACCATGTTGGTCAGGCTGGTCTCGAACTCCTGACCTCGTGATCTGCCCGCCTCGGCCTCCCTAAGTCCTGGGATTACAGGAGTGAGCCACCACACCCACCCAGTCTATTTGTCTTGAACTTAGACTTAGGGCATAGCTTACTCTGGAGTGCGGCCTTTTTGGTGTCTCAACAGAACACTTAAGGTACCTAATGTGGTATTTATATTCTAGCTGAGCCAGAACTTGAACATCTCCCAGCACAGTAAAACCTCTGTATCACCATTCAGCCCTCAGCCCTGCTGCTGGCAATTTCTCCTAGGCCTCATGGAGTCTTGACCTATACACGTGCAGATCAGCTTTTGGCAAATGATGTTGAGCAGCAAGTCCCCAGACAGACTTCTGTGACTGCCATCCTCTCTAAAGACCCGCCTTGCAAATTCCAGCTGCCTCAGCATACTCAAACTCTAATCCCTGCCTCCTCAGCCAGCCCAGTGAGACTGAGCTCTGCAGAGGCTCCACTTCCATGTGCCAGGGCAGAAAACTGTTCCCAGACAGAAGCAAGGGCTTACCTCATGTATATATCTTCCTTTTAGATGTTCAAAAAATACCATCTCAGAGAAAAACTTGGTAAGGAATAGATGAGTATCAATGTCAATGGAAGGTTGCGCTGCTTATTTAATTTTTTTTTTTTTTTTTTTTTTTTTTTTTGAGACAGAGTCTTGCTCTGTCCCCCAGGCTGGAGTGCAGTGGTGCGATCTGGGCTCACTGCAAGCTCTGTCTCCCAGGTTCACGCCATTCTCCTCCCACAGCCTTCCGAGTAGCTGGGACTACAGGTGCCCGCCACCACGCCCGGCTAATTTTTTTGTATTTTTAGCAGAGACGGGGTTTCACCATGTTAGCCAGGATGGTGTCAATCTCCTGACCTCGTGATCTGCCCACCTCCGCCTCCCAAAGTGCTGGGATTACAGGCGTGAGCCACCATGCCCGGCTAATTTTTTTTTTTTTTTTGATGGAGTCTTGCCCTGTTGCCCAGGATGGAGTGCAATGGCATGATCTCGGCTCACTGCAACCTCGGCTTCCCGGGTTCAAGCGATTCTCCTGCCTCAGCCTCCCGAGTAACTGGGATTACAGGCGCGTGCCTCCACACCCAGCTAATTTTTATATTTTTAGTAGAGACAGGGTTTCAACATGTTGGCCAGGCTGGTCTCGAACTCCTGACCTCGTGATCCACCCGCCTCAGCCTCCCAAAGTGCTGGGATTACAGGCGTGAACCACCACGCCCGGCCCTGCTTATTTAATTTTTAAATAAAGAGTTGAGCGTGATTACGGACAGGGAAGGAAGTCAGTGGGGAAAGATTAAGTGAAGACAGAGAAAAAAAGGGCAAGTATTGAGACCAAAAACCCACATAAAAATGCTTTAAAACTTAATAAAAGAATAATATATATTGTATTTTGATAGCAAACATGTCAATCTAGTGTTAATACTTCTATGTGCCCAGCGCTATGCTGAGAGAAATAAGAGGAAGTATAATACATGGCTTCTGTTCTAATAAGTTATAATCAAAAGAAGAATCAAAGCTCACATATCTGAAATAATAAAAGACGAATTCACACTAATCATATGAAAAAAGATCAAAGGTGCTAAAGGGAATTTGGAGGTGAGGGACACACCTGAGGGCTAGTGAAGCTGTGAAAATTATCATGAAAGACAGAAACATTAAGCTGATTTTTGGATTAGAAAACAGAACAGAAAGTGTTCCCAGCAGGAAAAAATATAAGCAAAATATATGTAAGCAAATGTGAACACACTGTGTTTCTGTGACACTAAAAGCAGCTAGATTATAGGGTCGTGAGAAAGGCAGTGCTGGAGAGCTAGAATGAGGCTAGAGCAGGGGAGAGAAACAATGGTCAGCAGGCCAAGTGCAGCCTTCCACATATTTTTGGACAGAGGACAGACTATGAGCTAAGAATGGATTTTATACTTTTTAATGTCTGAAAAAAAAACTAAAGGAGGATAATATTTCATGACATATGAAAATGATATGAAATTCAAATTTTAACACCCATAAAAAAGTTTTATTGGAACACAACCATTCTGATTTGTTTGCATATTGTCTATGGGTGCTTTAGCTACAAGAGCACAGTTGAGTAACAACCACAAGATCCACAAAACCAAAAATATTTCCTACCTAGCCCTTTACCAAAAAAGTCGCCTACTCTAAATAATCAAACTCCTGATCTATTCTATTACCCACAGGCCAAAAAGTAGAATAATTTAAATCAATGTAGGCCAGTTTGTTTCATTTTGGGGATAACAAAACTACAGAAAAATTTTAAAGATACAAATTTATTTTGTCATCTATCACTTATTTGAAAATCTTTTATCACAATCTCAAGTTTCTCATAATTACTTATCAAAAGTATTGATTGATCTAAGTCATATTTTCATAGTCACTCAGAGGAATTTGTGCTATGAGACCAAATTTGGCTGAAGCCTTATTAATTGTTTAAATCTCTATTTAAAAATATTCATAGTATAAGCTCACATTCCTTATCTAGAGCAATCAGGCCCAGGTGAAAAAGAATTGAGAATCATTTTATATATATATATACACATATATATACATATATATACATATATATATGAATGAATGATATTTTTATATATATTTATAATGTAAACATTTTACTTTGATTTAAAGTGTATTTATTTACCATTTCATTCATGAGTAAAGGCCAACAGCCTTTCTCTGATTGCATGACTGCAATATGGAGTTCTAAGTCCTCTTCCTTGCAAAACCCACATCTCCAATGGATAGTCTATTCCAAATTTTAGCTTTTTTAAAGTGGAGAGGGGAAAAAAGTCAAGGGAAATGTCAAGCTAAATGTAGGCAGTATGAATACAGATTCCTTAAAGATTTCGATGAATTTCTTTCTAATCTCGTTACAGTTTTCTGGCCCACCCTGATTCACTTTTATCGTTTTTACTAAACATTCCATTTTTCATAGAAAGAATAACTTTTGTTTTCAAATATGTTTCATCTGCTCATATAATATTTAATTAAATTGCATAATTATAATCATAAATGCAAATGAAAAGCAGCACACATGATCATAACCTATCTGTACATGCAACTCCGCAGGTTGGAACAAGACTGATCAAGCAGGCCGGGTGCGGTGGCTCATGCCTGTAATCCCAGCACTTTGGGAGGCCAATGTGGGTGGATCACTTGAGGTCAGGCGTTCGAGACCAGCCTGGCCAACATGGCAAAACCTCATCTCTACTAAAAATACAAAAATTAGACAGGTGTAGTGGTGGGTGCCTATAATCCCAGCTACTCAGGAGGCTGAGGCAGGAGAATCGCTTGAACCAGGGAGACGGAGGTTGCAGTGAGCCAAGATCGCACCACTGCACTCCAGCCTGGGCAAAAGAGTGAAACTCCATCTCAAAAAAAAAAAAAAAAAAAAAAAAAAAAAAAAAAAAAAGACTAACCAAGTAAACCAGAAAGTGTCCAGTAGCCACACGGAGCACATTGCAGCCATTCAGTTTCTTCTCCAGGGGATAGGAGGTATAGGCCAGTCCAGCCTGGTGACATAGTGTGCACTCCAATGTATTTTGTTACAAGCTAATAAAGGCTTTCATCCTTTGTACAAGACACTGGTGTGTTTCTTTTTTTGGAATTTATCCAGAAATATTCTTCCTATTCTCAGGGTTCCTAAAACTACATTAAATATTATCTGCCTACGGTAAGTGACAAAATCAACAGAACCTAGGTTTTTTGCTTCATTTTAAAAAAAAAAAATTCTATTATTAATGCATTAAACCTGGCGTTTTGGCTTAATTTTAATTTGGATAATTCATTTTGCCTACATAAATTTTCCCAAAGTTTCAATTAAATACGGCATCCTTTGATTCTGATCCTGAACCAACATTCTTATTTTTCTGAATCATTGAACAGCTGGCACATTCCCACCCCCAGATTAGGTTTCCATCCATTCCAAGTTAGTAAACATCATTCAGAATTCAAAATAAAAAAAATGCATCTTAAACTAGTAATATTTTTTTTTAAGAGACTATGTCTCTATGTTGCCCGGGCTGAACTGAAACTCTGAGATCAAGCAATCCTCCCACCTTAGCCTCCCGAGTATCTGGCTTGTGCCACCCCTCCCAGCTAAATATTTCAGCAACTTCAGAGGCACTTAATTTTCCTCCTTTTGTAAACTGGCAATCTTGACTCTAACATTGCTAGGAATTACTTATCTATATTTGTCCTTAAATACAAGACTATTAAAAAAAAATCAAGGGCTGCTTTCTGCCCGTGGATACCGCTGAGGAAGCCTCGTTAAAGTCTCTCTTCCCAGGGCCGTCCTGTCCTAAAGAGCCGGAACAGCTGCGGAAGCTCTTCATGGGAGGGCTGAGCTTTGAAACAACCGATGAGAGCCTGAGGAGCCCTTCTGAGCAGTGGAGAAGGCTCACAGATTGTGTGGTAAGTAGACATGCAAGCACCAAGCACTCCGGGGGCTCTGGGTTTGTCACGTATGCCACTGTGGAGGAGGTAGATGGCAGCCGTGAATGCAAAGCCACACAAGGTGGATGGGAGAGTTGTGGAACCAAAGAGAGCGGTCTCAAGAGAATATTCTCAAAAACCCGGTGCCCACTTAACTGTGAAAAAGATATTTGTTGGTGGCATTAAAGAAGACACTGAAGAACATCAACTAAAAGTTTATTTTGAACAGTTTGAATAATCGAAGTGATGGAAATCATCACTGACTGAGGCAGTGGCTCGTGTGTATGGGCAAAAAACTCGAGAACTGTGTTTGTGACTAATTGTATTTTAGCTTCTGTTCTGTGGAAAGTGTAAAGCATTCCAACAAAGAGTTTTAATGTACATTTTTTATTGCACCCATGCTGTTGATTGCTAAATGTAATAGTCTGATCATGATGCTGAATAAATGTGTCTTTAAAAAAAAATCAAGGATCAAAGCTTCTAGAAAAAAAGGACTTTGAATATCTAGCAGCTGACACAGCTAAACAACAGTATACAATTCCATTAGTTTTTTGTTTGTTTGAGACAGGGTCTCTCTCTGTTGCCCAGGCAGGAGTGCAGTGGCACAATCTCAGCTCACTGCAACCTCCACCTCCTGGGCTCAAGCGATCTCCCAGTCTGCCTCCCAAGTAGCTGGGACCACAGGCACATGCCACCATGCCTGGCTAATTTTTATATTTTTGGTAGAGACGGGGTTTTACCATGTTGCCCAGGCTGGTCTCCAACTCCTGAGCTCAAGTGATCTGCCCGCCTTGGCATCCCAAAGTGCTGGAATTACAGGCATGAGCCACCACACCCAGCCCACTAGTTATTTTAAATTGTTCTATAGAAGATACTTGATAATATATGTTTATTTTATAGTAACATAAGTACTAAAATGTGTAGTATATTTTCATTTTTATAAAAGAGAGTGAGAATTCAGTTTAGACTACAATATTAAGCAGTTATTTCTATGTAAGAAGCATAGTCATCATTTTTACTTTCTTCTTTTAGCTTATCTGTACATGTAATTTTAACAATAAACTTCTGTAACAAGAAACAAGCAATTGAGGGATTGTCTAGGAAGAGACTCTATTATCCCATTTTCCTCTCACTCTAGGACTCCAAGTGAAGGTGAAAGAGACCAGACGAGACCTTTCCTAATTCCATTCATCTCTGAGGGATTTATAAGGAAGTTACCAACCCCTGGTCTAAATAATCAAACAGAGAAAAGAAGAAAAGGAAAAAAGGATCAGAGGACACAGAAGAATTTCTGGACACACTTCCATCTGCTAATTAAATGGAAGGAGCAAGTTTGGGTTTTTTTGTTTTTCCTCTACCTCAATCAAAGACTATGAATCTTTCTTTTAATCTCTGGAGCTAACTTCTCTAATTAGTTTCCTAGAGGAAGAGGATGCTTTACTATTGGCATTTCACACTCTGCACAATGGTATGAACTTGACATACCTCAGCTGATCCAGCAGAAAGAGCTCTAAAACTCAAAAGTTATGTCATCAGTAACTGTCAATAGATAGAAGTGTTCGCAGGTACTACTAGTTCCAATACTCATTGACTTTGTAACAACTGGTATATTAGCTACAATCAAACAAAATGAGGTATTCTTTACAAGAATTACATAAGCCCTTTCCAATAAATTTTCTGTAACGATGGAAATATTCTATAATCTGTCTAGATAACTAGTTTGGGATGAGGTGAGGGGGAAGGAGAGATTACAAAAGGGCTTGGAGGAAACTTTTAAGCATAAAAGATGTGTTCATTCCTTTGAGCATATTGATGGTTTCAAATTTCATTTTAAATTTGTCAAAGTACATATGTTAAATATATACTGTTTACTTTTTACCTCTATAAAGCTGTAAGAGAGTATATGTGTGTGTGTGTGTGTGAGAGAGAGAGAGTGTGTGTGTGTGTGAGTGTCTGTGTCCTACTGGGTTAAAAACATAAAGGCCATATCACTTTTGCTGAAGAGCTGCTTTATGGTGTGCAGCTAGAGTTTTGCTTCGAGTACATAATCTTTGTCATTCCTGGAATTCAGAAATGTCAGACCATTGATGGAAGTCAAGGGAAACCAACATTAATGTCTCCTGGCTGGAGACACAGAAGAAGGAAGCAGGGGCCAGATCACATAGACACTGGGTAGATAAGTGCAAAGTATTCTTATTTAATTCTAAATAAGACTGTAATGGGAAATCAATGCAGAATTTAGGAAAGGATTTTATTTTCAGAGTTCCCTTTGTGGTTGCTTTTAGTTATACTGTTCAAACTATAGATATACGGTTCCAAAACTCAATACATATAAAAATGTATCTAACGAAAAACCCTCTGCATTAGTTATCTATTACTATATAATAAATTATCCCAAAACATAATGGCTTAGAAACCCAAACATTTATTATTTCACGGTTTCTGTGGATGAGGGATTCAGGAGTGGCTTGGCTGGGTGGTTCTGTATTGGGTCAGGAATCAACACATAGGCCAAGACTACAAGTATCTGAAGGCTTGCCTGGGATAGATGATCTGCATCTAAAATGGGCCACTCACATGGGCTGTTTTCTAGAAGCCTCAGTTCCTCAACACATAGACTTCTCCATAGAGCTGTGTGCAGGTCATACACCACGGCAGCTGGCTCCAGAGCTAGTGGTCCAAGAGAACAGGATAGAAGCCACAATATCATTTATGACTGAACCTCAGAAGTCAAACTTCATTATTTCAGCAATATCCTGTAGGTTCACAAGTGATCCCCACTCAATGTTGGTGGGGGGACTCACATGAGAATAATGTACCAAGAGCTGGGAATCCTTTTACTCCAACCCATCCCTAGTTTTTTGTTTTTTGTTTTGTTTTGTTTTGTTTTGTTCATCTTACATGCAACTTCCATCTCATTTTTATCTTTCCAAGTTTATTCAACTTTGAAGTTCAATTTCAAATTTGATATTTTTCCTGAGCTCCTTACATTGGTTAGAAAATATAAATTCCTCCCTCAATGAGTCCTTCCTAGCATTTTGTGCCTAGATATACCATTAAAAATAAGAATCAGGGGCCGGGCGCAGTGGCTCACGCTTGTAATCCCAGCATTTTGGGAGGCTGAGGCGGGCAGATCACGAGGTCAGGAGATCGAGACCACGGTGAAACCCCGTCTCTACTAAAAATACAAAAAAATTAGCCGGGCGTGGTGGCGGGAGCCTGTAGTCCCAGCTACTCGGACAGGCTGAGGCAGGAAAATGGCGTGAACACGAGAGGCGGAGCTTGTAGTGAGCCTAGATCGCGCCACTGCACTCCAGCCTAGGCGACAGAGCGAGACTCCGTCTAAAAAACAAAAAATTAATAAGAGTCAGGGCTGGGCACAGTGGCTCACGCCTGTAATCCCAACACTTTGGGAGGCCAAGGCAGGTGGATCACCTGAGGTCAGGAGTTTGAGACCAGTCTGGTCAACATGGTGAAACTCCCTTCTACTAAAAATACAAAAATTAACTGGGCGTGGTGGCGCATGCCTGTAATCCCAGCTACTCGGGAGGCTGAGGCAGGAGAATCGCTTGAACCTGGGAGGCGGAGGTGGCAGTGAGCTGAGATTGCACCACTGCACTCAGGCCTGGGCAACAAGAGCAAAACTCCATCTCAAAGAAAAATGAAAAAATAAATTAAATAAATAAACAAATAAAAGAACCACAACAGAAAGAGAAAGCTTCAAGTAGGAGATGGTAATGAGTTTGGTTTTGAACATGCTGAGATTGAGGTATCAATTGGACAGCCGGATGAAGATTTCTCAGAGGCAAAAGGAGATAGATAGATAGATAGATAGATAGATGAGTCTAAAGTTAGGGGAAAAGCTAGAGATAGAGAGTTTGAAGTCATCAATTTACATATAGGTTTCAAACTCACAAGCTTACATGTAAACCTGGAGGGACTAACTAGGGTAGATGTATGGCATAAAATGATAAGATAGTCAGGACCCTGAGAATCCAACAAACAGGAGTCAAAGATTGGTCATTCATTCATTCAACAAGTAATTTTTTAACAACCATGATTATGGATGGGAGATAGAAATATATGGGAAGATTAGGTTAATGCAAAAAGATAAATATAAGAACTGAAAAATATTTAACGATTTTAGCTAGGTGGAGAATCCAAGGTGGAGGTTTTACCTCCAGCATTAAGATGGAGGTAAAAGGTAAATTGCAGTGGGTGAGGAGGGAATGGGAGTTCAGTAAGTAAAAAAGAGAAGTGTAGATTCTGAGTCAGCTTTGTGATGGGCAACCTATGCAGTCACATAGGGCCCCAGTCCCCATGAGTTGTTTAATACTCTGAGGTTGCCATCTTGAAATTCTTAATAATTTTGAACAAGTAACCATTCATTTTCATTTGTCCTGGGCTCTGAAAATTCTGTATCCTATCCTTTGTAGCTCATACTTTAAAGAAGCTTGACTGAGCAAGAAAAGAGAGATAAGGGGCCAGGTGCTGTGTCTCATGCCTGTAATCCCAGCACTTTGAGAGGCTGAGATGTGAGGATCACTTGAGCCCTGCAGTTTGAGGCTGCAGTGAGCTATAATCATACCACAGCACTCTAGGCTGGATGACAGGTAAGATGCTATCTCAAAAAGAGAGAGAGCATGAGAGAGAGAGAAAGGCAGTAGGCAATAGAACTGATGTGCAGACAGCAGAACATTCTCCTTTAATTATTGTGGTGGGCATTCTGGTTGTTGTTGACATTTTAGGATGAAAACGTCTTACAGGCTTAGCAATAGGAGGCAATGGGGGAAAGAGGTTGAAAATACAGAAGGGAGAGGAAATAGATGATAAAGTAAAATAGCAACGACAAAGAATGAAATGAGAACTGCAGAGCCCAGGTGAACACCTAATCCCTGAAACTAAAGGGGGAAAGGTGAAGATGGGGAGAAAGGAATAGAGTTTTGTTCTGAAGGTCTTATTTATCTCAATTAAGGGGGAGAAAGTCATCTGCTCAGAGGAAGGGAGAGGAGATTGTTGGGTAGAAAAAAATTATGGGTTGAGAAAGCAGTTCCATGTCATTTTCAGTACAGCTACACTGTACTTTTTATCTATCAGTGCAACAAATTATCTCTACTAATGGAGACAGGGGTACCTCAGTGATCCTGGAACCTAGACTTTGTGGTATCTGATGTGCACAGGAAAATGAATATTAGAATAGTAGACCTGACACATGGATTGGGTGTAATATTTCCTTGCAATGATAAAAATTACTTCTTCTTTGGCTGCAAGATGAGGATAAATTCGCTCCCTTACCAGGTAACAGGCCTTGGGCAAACAGTAAGAATCAGGGAAAGAGCTCTAGCCTAGTCTCAGACAAGCAGCAAATGCCTTACCATCACCTTTTGATGGCAATATATCCATCTCTACATCTGTTTTTTAACACTTTCCTGTAGGGTCAGAGGAAGGGGTATATCCTATCTCAAAGTTAGAGCCTATACCTGTGCCCTACATTCCACACATACTTCTTTTTTTTTGCTTTTTCCATCCCCGCAGTTTCCTACCCTCTTTATTTACCTCTGTAAATACTTCCTACATAAATAAAAACACCCTAATTTATCCTATTTTGAGTGTGCCAGCTGCTTTCTGCTGGAATCCACTGTGTAACCTCAAAATATTCCCACAGTATATGCAAAGTTACATTGATTTAAATTAACATTTTAAAGTACGTAGAAATCCCAAGCAGGATTTCCTATTTTAAAGAAGAGATACTGTGATTATCGCTGCAGTGAATCCCTTGAAGCTGTTTTGTACTCAGAATATATGTTTGACTTTCTATTTGTTCAAACTACAAACTTATCTGAATAAAAGCATTGAAAACGGATTGATTATATTCATTCAAAACCCACATTAAATTGTTGGTAAGACATTGAATGTTCTATTGAAAAAAAAAATCCGAAATATACCACACGTGGTGGCTCACATCTATAATCCCAGCAGTTTGGGAAGCCAAGGTAGGAGAATCACTTGAGGCCAGGAGTTCAAGACCAGCCTGGAAAACATGGCGAGACTTTGTCTCTAAAAAAAAAAAAAAAAGAAAAAAGAAAAATTAGCCAGGGAGGGTGATCCGCTCATCTGGTCTCAGCTACTTGGGAGGCTGAAGTGGGAAGATTGCTTGAGCCCAGGAGTTTGAGGCTGCTGCAGTGAGCTATGAGCACACCACTGCACTCCAGCCTGAGGGAAGAGTGAGACCCTGTCTCCTAAAACAAACAAACAAACAAAAAACCACACACACACAAATATCCAGAAATATCCACAGAAATATCCAGGAAATATTTCACATTTGCTGTAATGATTACGGCAGAAATTAAAGGTAATAAGGGGCTGTGCGTGGTGGCTCACACTTGTAATCCCAACACTTTGGGAGGCTGAGGTGGGAAGATCACTTGAGGGTAGGAGTTCAAGATCTGCCTGCACAAAATAGTAAGATTCTCATCTCTACAAATAAATAAATAAATAAATAAATAAATAAATGTAATTAGCCTGTCATGGTGGCACATGCCTGTAGTCCAAGCAACTCAAGAGGCTAAGCCAGGAGGATCACTTGAACCAGGAGTTCAAGGGTGCAGTGAGCTATGATGGCACCACTGCACTCCAGCCTGGGTGACAGAGCAAGACCCTGTCCCAAAAAACATAATTAGGCGGAGCGCAGTGGTGCAAGCCTATAAGCCAACATTTTGGGAGGCCCAGATGGGTGGACCACTTGAAGTCAGGAGTTTGAGACCATCCTGGCCAACATGGCAAAACCCATCTCTACTAAAACTACAAAAACCTTGGGCATGGTGGCGCCCACCTGTAATCCCAGCTACTGAGGAGGCTGAGGCACAACAATCACTTGAACCCAGGAGGCGGAGGTTACAGTGAGCCAAGATCGCCTGGGCAACAGAGCCAGACTCAGTCTCAAAAAAAAAAAAAAAAGTAATTAGGGAATTGGTACATAATTTCTCAGAATGGCCTTCATTCATCTAAGCATTTTTGCCTAGAATTCTAAAAACAAACAAGTGTTTCCACAGCTAGTCTCTCAGTTTCTCAGTCCATACTTCTGACTACCATCCGACAAATATTTGCTGAGCTACTAAGTACAAGGAATTGCTCTACGCCCCGGGGATGCAATCGATATAATTACTAATTCCTTCTAAAAACCTCCATTGATTTCCCACTGATTACAGAAGAAAATTCATATTCATTCACCAAGCAAACATTTCTGAGTTGAATTTTTATCCAGAGTCATTTCCCACCATTCCTTTAGGTCAGTGGTTATCAAACATTTTGGTGTTAGGAGCTATTCACACTTTTTTTTTTTTTTTTTTTTTTTGAGATGGCGTCTTCCTCTGTCGCACCCAGCTGGAGTGCAGTGGTGCGATCTTGGCTCACTGCAACCTCCGCCTTCCACATTCAAGCGATTCTCCTGCCTCAGCCTCCCAAGTAGCTGGGATTACAGGCGCCTGCCAGCACACCCAGCTAATTTTTTGTATTTTCAGTGGAGATGGGGTTTCACCATGTTGGTCAGGCTGGTCTCAAACACCTGACCTCACGTAATCTGCCCGCCTTGGCTTAATAATTTTTAAAAGTGTGGGCCAGTTGCAGTGGCTCACGCCTGTAATCCCAGCACTTTGGGAGGCTGAGGCGATCGGATTACCTGAGGTCATGAGTTCGACACCAGCCTGACCAACATGGTGAAACCCCGTCTCTACTAAAAATACAAAAAATTAGCCAGGCATGGTGGCAGGCGCCTGTAATCCCAGCTACTCAGGAGGCTGAGGCAGGAGAATCGCTTGAACCCAGGAGGCGGAGGTTGCAGTGAGCCGAGATGGCGCCATTGAACTCCAGCTTGGGAGACAGTGCGAGACTCTGACTCAAAAAAAAAAAAAAAAAAAGAGAACCCCAAGAGCTTTTGTGTGTGTGAATTGTATCTATCAATATTTACCATCTTCAAAATTAAAGCTGGAAACTTTCTCAAATGTTTATTTATTAAATCACTTTCACACATGGAACATTCTCCAGGATCAATCACATATTATTCCACAAAGCAAGCTTTAATAAATTTAAAAGGAATGAAATCATACACAGTATATTCTCTCACCAAAGTGGAATAACTTTAGAAACCAATAACAGGGGCCGGGCATGGTGGCTCACGCCTGTAATCCCAGCACTTTGGGAGGCTGAGGCAGGCGGATCACGAGGTCGAGATCAAGACCATCCTGGCTAACACGGTGAAACCCCGTCTCTACCAAAAATACAAAAAAAAAAAAAAATAGCCAAGCGTGGTGGCGGGTGCCTGTAGTCCCAGCTACTCGGGAGGCTGAGGCAGGAGAATGGTGTGAACCCGGGAGGCGGAGCTTGCAGTGAGCCAAGATCACGCCACTGCACTCCAGCCTGGGCAACAGAGCGGGACTCCATCTCAAAAAAAAAAAAAAGAAAGAAAAAGAAACCCATAACAGAAGGAAATTTGGAAAATTAAAAATAAGTGGAAATTAAACAAAATACTTCTAATAACCAATGGGTCAAAGAATAAGTCATAAGGGACATTACATAATATTTTGAGATAAAATGAAAATACGACATACTAAAACTTAAGAAATGCAGTGAAAGCAGGGGACACCTATAATGGTAAATGCCTATTTTATAAACAAAAAAAGATCTTAGGTCAATAACCTAACATTTCAACTTATAAAAATAGAAAAAGGAGAGCGACCTAAGCCCAAAGCAAGCAGAAGGAAGGAAATAATAAATATTAGGGCAGAAATAAACTAAATAGAGAATTTTCTTAAATCAACAAAACCAAAAGTTGATTATTTGAAAAAGTCAACAAATTAACAAAATTTTATTTTAGATCAATCAAGAAAAAAGAGAGAAAATTCAAATTACTCAAATTGGAAATGAAAGACTAAATATTACTACCAATCTCACAAGGCATAAAAATGGATTATAAGTAAACACTATGAACAACTGCATTCCAACAAATGAGATAACTCAGATTAAATAGAAAAATTCCTAGAAAGATACAATCAACCAAAATAATAAAAGAAGAAATAGAAAATCTGAATACATGCATAACAACTAAAGAAGTTGATTCAGTAATTAAAAAAAAAATTTTTTTCACAGAAAGAAAAGCCCATGACCAGATGGCTTCACTGGTAAATTCTGCCAAATGCTTAAATAAGATAAAACACCAATTCTTGAGAAACTCTCCCAAAAAATAGAAGAGGAGGGAACACTCCCAAACTCACTCTGTGATGTCTGTATCACCGATACTGAAAGCATAACAAAGAATTACAAGAAAATAAAACTAAAGAAGAATATCCCTTAAGAATACAGATGCACCAGGTGTGGTGGCTCATGCCTGTAATCCCAGCACTTTGGGAGGCCAAGGTGGGTGGATCACCTGAGGTTGGGGGTTCGAGACCAGCCTGACCAACATGGAGAAACCTCGTCTCTATTAAAAATACAAAATTAGCCAGGCGTGATGGCGCATGCCTGTAATCACAGCTACTCGGGAGGCTGAGGCGGGAGAATCGCTTGAACCCAGGAGGCAGAGGCTGTGGTGAGCCGAGATCATGCCATTGCACTCCAGCCTGGGCAACAAGAGCAAAACTCTGTCTCAAAAAAAAAAAAAATACAGATGCAAGACTGGACACGGTGGCTGACACCTATACTCTAAGCACTTTAGGAAGCCAAGGCAGGAGGATCGCTTGAGCCCAGGAGATTGAGACCAGCCTAGGCAACGTAGCAAGACCCAGTCTCTACAAAAGAAATTTAAAAATTAGCCGGGGCATGGTGGTGTCCACCTGTGGTCCCAGTTACTAAGGAAGCTAAGGCAGGAGGATCCCTTGAGCCCGGGAGGTCAAGGCTACAGTGAGCTACAATTGCACCTCTGCACTCCAGGCTGGGTAATAGAATGAGACCTCTGTCTCGAAAAAAAAAAAAAAAATACAGATGCAAAAACCCTCAATAAAATACTAGCAAACCAAATCCAGTAGTACATATAAAGGATTCTATATCACAACCGAGTGGAGTCTATCTCAGGAATACAAGGTCAGTTTATATACAGAAATCAATTAATGTAATATGCCATATCAACAGAATAAAAACAAAAACTACATAATCATCTCAACAGATACAGAAAGATATTTAACAAAATCTAACACCCTTTCTTAGTAAAAACATTCAATAAGCTAGGAATAGCAAGGAAATTCCTGAACTTGATAAAGAGCATCTATGGAAAACCCACAACTAACATCATACTTAATGGTGAAAGCCTGAACGTTTTCAAAAAAGAGAAAAGAAGGTCTGCTCTCACCACTACTTTTAAACTTTGTACTGGAGGCTCTAGCAATGGCAATTTGGCAAGAGAAAGAAATAAAAGGCATTCAGATTGGAAAAGAAGAAAGAAATCTATCTTTATTTGCAAATAACACAATTTTTTACAGAGAAAACTCTAAAGAATCCAACTTTAAAAAATAAAAACTAAGGCCAGGCGTGGTGGCTCATGCCTGTAATCTCAGCACTTTGGGAGGCCAAGGCAGGCGGATTGCCTGAGCTAAGGAAGTTCACGACCAGCCTGGGCAACATGGTGAAACCCCATCTCTACTAAAATACAAAAAATTATCTGGGCATAGCGGCGTGCGCCTATAGTCCCAGCCTCTTGGGAGGCTGAGGCAGGAGAATTGCTTGAACCCAGGAGACGGAGATTGCAGTGAGACGAGATGGTGCCACTGCACTCCAGCTTGAGCAACAGAGCAAGACTCCATCTCACAAAAAAAAAAAAACTAAAAGCTAATAAATTGAGCAAGTTTGCAGTATATAAGATCAATATACAAATATCAGTCCTATTCTTAAACACTTTGCAGTAAACAACCCAAAATGGAAATTAATAAAACTATTCCATTTGTGATAGCATCAAACGCAATCAAATATTTTTATTTGATTATTTTATTAAATATTTAAATTAGGAATAAATTTTAAAGAAGTACACTGAAAACTGCACAATACTGTTGAAAGAAATCAATGAGGACCTAAATAAATGGAAAGATAGTCCATGTTTATGTATTGGAAGACTTCATATTGTATTGGCAATACTACCCAAAGTGATCTACAAATTCAGTACACTATCAAAATTCCAGTGCCTCTTTTGCTGAAATGGACAAGCTGATCCTTAAAATTTACATAGAATTGTAAGGGACCTAGAATAGCTAAAATAATCTTGAAAAAGAAGAACAAAGAACAAGGTTGGAGAACCACACTTCCTGATTTCAAACTTACTACAGGACAGTGTGATACTACAGGCATGGATAAACATGTAGATAAGTGGAATAGTGTCCAGAAATAAACTCATGTGTCTATGGTCACTTGATTTTCAATAAAAAATTTCAAGAGCATTCACTGGGTAAATACAATCTTTCCAAGGAATAGTGTTGGGACAACTGAATATCCACATGCAAAAAAGTGAATTTGGATCCCTCCCTCATACCATATGGAAAATTAACTTAAAGTGGAAAATGAATCAAAGACCTAAATGTAATGACTAACACTATAAAACTCTTAAACAAAAACGTAGGTATAACTTCATGGCCTGAACTAGGCAAGGGTTTCTTAGATATGACACCAAAGGTGCAAGCATTGTAGATGACTGCAGAATAATTTTTTATTATTAAAAAATAATATGGCCAGGTGAGGTGGCTCATGCCTGTAATCCCAGCACTTTGGGAGGCCGAAGTAGGCTGATCACTTGAGGTCAGGAGTTCAAGACCAGTCTGGCTAACATAGTGAAGCCCCATCTCTAAATACAAAAATTAGCCGGGTGTGGTGGCGGGCACCTGTAGTCCCAGCTACTAGGGAAGCTGAGGCAGGAGAATCATTTGAACCCAGGAGGTGGAGGTTGCAGTGAACCCAGAACTCGCCACTGCACTCCAGCCTGGGTGACAGAGCAAGACTCTGTCTCAAGAAAACAAACAAACAAACAAAAACAAACAAAATAATAATATGCCAGGTACAGTGGCTGTAATCCCAGCACTTCGGGAGGCCAAGGTGGGTGGATCACTTCAGTCCAGGAGTTCAAGATGAGCTCGCAAACATGTTGAAACCCTGTCTCTACTAAAAATACAAAAATTAGCCAGGCATGGTGGCACATGACTGTAGTCCCAGCTACTTAGGAGGCTGAGGCATGAGAATCACTTCAACTAAGGCGGCAGAAATTGCAGTGAGCAGAGATCACACCACTGCCCTCTTGCCTGTGTGATAGACTGAGAATCTGTCTCAAATAATAAAATAATAATCATAATAATCATAAGCACAAGCAACAAAAGAAAAATAAATACATTGGGCTTTGTTAATATTAAAAATTTGTATGTCAAAAGATACTATTAAGAAATTGAGAGCTAGGTGTGGTGGCTTAAGCCTGTAATCCCAATACTTTGGGAGACCAAGGCAGGTGGATCACTTGAGCTCAGGAGTTCAAGACCAGCCTGGGCAACATGGCAAAAACCCATCTCTACTAAAAATTCCCCTCAAATATTAGCCAGGTGTGGTGGCATGCACTTGTAGTCCCAGCAACTTGCGGGGCTGAGGTGGGAGGATCACTTGAGCCCAGGTGGTGGAGGTTGCAGTGAGCCAAGACCATGCCACTGCACTCCACCTTGGGTGACAGAGTGAGATCCTGTCAAAAAAGAAAGAAAGAAAGAAAGAAATTGAGCCCAAGTGTGGTGGCTCATGCCTGTAATCCCAGCAATTTGGGAGGCCAAGGCAGGAAGATCACTTAGGGCCAGGAGTTTGAGACCATTCTGGGCAACACAGTGAGACCTTGTCTCTACAAAAATAATAAAAAATTTTAAATTAGCTGGGCATGGTGGCACACACCTGTAGTTCCAGCTGCCCAGGGAACTAAGCGGGAGGGTTGCTTGAACCCAGAAATTGGAGACTGCAGTGAGCTATGATCTTGCCACTGCACTCCAGCCTAGGTGACAGAGTGAGACCCTGTCTCAAAAAAAAAGAATAAATAAAAGAAACTGAAAAGACAACTCTTAGAATGGGATAAAATATTTGTAAATCATATTTCTGATAAAGATTTAGTATCCATAATATATAAAAACTCATAATTCTATAATAAAAATACAAATAGTTTAACTTAAAAATGGGCAATATTGGATATGTTAATTAGCTTGATTTAACCATTTACAATGTATATATACATATCAAAACATCACATTATACACTGTAAATATATCTCATTTTCATTTTGTCAATTATACCCTAATTTTTTAAATGAAACAAATATAGAGTTAAAATAACAGTAAAATAAATAAATTTAAACAAATGAGGAACAAATTTGAATAGACATTGCTATGGTTTGAATATCTCCTCCAAAGCTTACATTGAAATTTAATTGCTATAATGATGGTATTCAGAAGTGAGACCATTAAGAGGTGATTAGGCCATGAGGGCTCTGCCCTCAGGAGCAGATTAATGTTTTTATCACTGGAGTGAATTCATTATTGTGAGAGTGGGTTGTTATAAAACTGAGTTTGGCTCATTTGCTCTCTGTCTGTCTCTTGCTCTCTCTCATGTACTCTCTTGCCCTTCCACCTTCCACCATAAGGTGATGAAGTTTGAAGGCCCCACCAGATGCTGACACTATGCTCTTAGACTTCCTAGTCTCTGGAACTATGTGCCAAATAAATTTCTGTTCATTATAAATACCCAGTGTGTGGTAGTCTGTTATAGCATTGCAATACAGACTAAGACAAACATTTATCCAAATAATACATAAAAATGACCTGACAAGCACATGAAAAAATGCTCAACATCATTTGTCATTAAAGAAATGCAAATCAAAAACATAATGATATATCACTTCACACAGAGAGGGTGGATAAAATCAAAATGTCAGATAATAACAAATGTTAGCGAGGATATGGAGAAATTAGAGCCCTCATATTATGCTGATGGAAATGTAAAATGGTATAGCCTCTTTGGAAAACAGTCTAGCAGTTCTTCAAATGGTAAAACATAGAGTTACTACATGACCCAGCAATTACACTCATAGGTATACATCCAAGAGAAATGAAAATGTTATGTCCACATGAAAATTTGTACACAAATATTTATAGTAACATTCTTCATAATAGTCAAAAAGTGGGAACAATCCAAATATCTGTCAACTAATAAATGAATAAACAAAATGTGCTATATTCAGTGGAATATTATTCA
The DNA here is from genome assembly GCF_000001405.40 of Homo sapiens. Classification (NCBI taxonomy): domain Eukaryota; kingdom Metazoa; phylum Chordata; class Mammalia; order Primates; family Hominidae; genus Homo; species Homo sapiens. The sequence continues at coordinate 112,867,752 of NC_000004.12, read as the reverse complement.
GCCACAAAAAGAAATGAAATAATAATACATGACAACATGGATAAATCTAGAAAACATTATGCCAAATGAAAAAAAAAAAACAGACTTAAAAGGCCATGTATTGTATGATTCGATTTCTATAAAATGCTCAGAATAAGCAAATCCATAGAAGCAAAGAGTATATTAATGATTGCCAGGGATGAGGGAGTAGGGGGGAAAGGGGAGTTACTGCTAACAGAGTTTCTTTTTAGCATGATGAAAATCATAATAGATAGTAATGGTGGTTGTACAACTCTGTGAATACAGTAAAAACCACTGAATTATACACTTTAAAGTGGTGAATTTTATTATATGTGTATTATATCTCAATTTAAAAAAAACAAAACCTATACAAAAATCATAATACTAAAAGAATAGGAGGAAAAAACATAAGGCATAAATGACAAGTGAAGAGTATTCACCAGAAAAATGCTACCAGAGAACAGACAAAAATCTGATCAAACATCTTAATATAATTCTTTTAAAAGTTTAAAAAGCAATAGCCTTTATAAAATAAGAGCACAAGGTAGAAAAACAAGTGTTTAGGGAAGATAAGAAAATACTTTCAATGCAGATAAAACATAGGCAGGTAGAGTTCAAGGAAAAAAAAATGTAAGACCTCAAAAAAAAAGGTAATTATGAAAGCAGAAAGAATTGCCTTACAGACAATACATAATAACTTTTAAAGTGTATTCAAGAAGAAACTAGAAACAGAGCACTGCATGAGTCTAGGAAATAGACCTATAGAAATACAAATAATTTTTGATTACATGAAAAGTAAATGTGAAGTAATTTTGGAAACTTAGATTTATCTGTAATTTATATTAAAAGATTTGATACAAGGAAATAACTAGTCGGACACAGAGTAAGACTAATACATCACCACAAAAGATTATCAGTAGACAATGCGGAATTATGAGAGAAAAGGAAAAAAAGAATCCGAGCAGGACCAACACAGAGTTTTTCTTCAGTCATAAATCACTTCTAAGAAAAAATTTAAAATTCACATCAGTAGCATTGCAAAATACTACCTTTAAAAAAAAATAACACGAGAAAAAACATACAAAAAGTTTATACCAATGTTAACATTGATTAATTAACTTTTCATTTCTGGGTAGTTACATGATTAGTAAACTGTATTATCTTCATTTTGCTTATTTGTGGTTTGTTAATGTTTTATCATTTTTCTGCAATAACCAAGTCTCACAATGAAAGAATAAAAAGGAACAATGCTGTCTTTTAGTTTGTTATGAAAATATAACTATGTTTAAGGTACCTGAAGAGTGCTCAACTTCATGTTATTTTTATTACATAGTGTGGGTTTAGTCACTCACTCACTTTATTGTCATTATATACTCTCACATAAGTGGTTCCTTCCCATATGTTGACTAAGGTCTTGGCCTCACTATAACCTCTACTGTGATCCAGATTTTGATGTTCTTACCTAGCAGTTGATAAGCAGCACCCATTGTATCATGTTGATTTAAGGATTTTTTTCTTGTCTAGGATTTGCAGGAGATAGGAGGACATAAATTACAGTCACAAAGTAGATGCCCAGTAACTGATAATTAAGAGTATTCTGTACTCCAAAAGATATTTTCCTTTGCTGCACTGTATGCTGCACCTCAGCCGAAAAGATAGCTATAGCTGCTGTGTGTTTAAGAAAAACAGTAGTGCTGACTCTTATTAAAACAGAATGCTGCATACATGTAGCACAGTGAGCCACCAAAGTGGTGAAGTAAGGCTGTGTGTGTGTGTGTGTAACAAATCTTTATTTCACACAAAACATTGTTTAAAAATTGAAACTCACATTGCTACAGAAAAAAACAGAGGACTTAATTTCTTTAAAACTTAGAGCAATGAATTTTTGGAATAAATACATAAAAAACCTAGTAGACCATCCTTACCAAAAATAGATCTTTATAAAGCTGCACAGAAATGTATGAAATTTATCCATCTTTAATTTTCAAGTATATATGGCTGGAGATAAATCTCAGGTATATAAGAATATTTACATTTTTCTAATGGTTATATAATTAGATTAGATACAGTAATTTCTATCAGCACATCTTTTATAAATTCTAACTGCAGCAAAATTTCATTCATGTGACTCACCATGTTCCCTACCTCCATACCTCCACACCACATGTTGTTTTCCCTAACTGTTTTGTAAGCAGTTTATTCATCTATTTTTCTGGATAAAACTGGCAGTAAGTAGAGTGAGATTATTAAAATAAATCTTTTTTTATATGGCATAGTAATACTTTTCATATACTCAGAAATCTTTTTAAAAGAAGAAGTCTTTAAAACCTGAATAAACATTTTAAAACCATAAACATTATCATTGAGAATTTCTGCATTTGTGAGGTTGGTATTATATAAACCAAAATTCACTGTAATTATAATAACAGAGCTTTCAAAAAGTTATGTGATAAAATAAAAGGTGAGAAGGTGAATTTCTTTACTGCAGTTTTTAAAACTGCCGACATTAAGTTTCATGACTTGTACTAGAGAAGATGGTGATTTCTAATGCTAAACCAGAGTTTTCTCCATTACTTTGACAGCAGATGAAGTGCTCATACCATTGGGTAGATGAGAGTACACATAATCCACATGTTGCACTAATGCTATTTCTAAGACCAATGAATCTCTGGTTTCTACTCCTTTTTTTTTTTTTTTTTTTTTTTTTTTTTTTTTTTTTTTGAGATGGAGTCTCGCTCTGTCGCCCAGGCTGGAATGCAGTGGCGCGATCTCGGCTCACTGCAAGCTCCGCCTCCTGGGTTCACGCCATTCTCCTGCCTCAGCCTCCCAAGTAGCTGGAGCTACAGGCGCCCACCACCACGCCCAGCTAATTTTTTGTATTTTTAGTAGAGACGGGGTTTCAACGTGTTAGCCAGGATGGTCTCAATCTCCTGACCTCGTGATCCGCCCGCCTCGGCCTCCCAAAGTGCTAGTATTACAGGCTTGAGCCACCGCGCCCGGCTGGTTTCTACTCTTAACAGCCACTCAAAGTGCCATCATCATAGCACTTCGTTGCTTTTATATTATATCAAAACATAGTATGAGCTAATGAATCACCTTTGACCAAGTAAACGTTTTTTTAAAATACTTTAAAAATCCTTACCGGCCGGGCGCCGGGGCTGACGCCTGTAATCCCAGCACTTTGGGAGGCCGGGGTGGGCATATCGCCTGAGGTCGGTAGTTCGAGACCAGCCTGGTCAGCATGATGAAACCCCATCTCTACTAAACATACAAAAATTAGCTGGGCATGTTGGCAGACGCCTGTAATCCCAGCTACTCGGGAAGCTGAGGCAGAAGAATCGCTTGAACTTGGGAGGCGGAGATTGCATAGAGCTGAGATCATGCCATTGCACTCCAGCCTGGGCAACAGAGCGAGACTCCGTCTCAAAAAATAAAAATAAAAATCCTTACCATTTAGTGAAAATGTTACTAGTCTTTTCCAAAATGTCATAATGTCATAGTGATAAGAGATGGCACTGAGAATCAATGGAACAAACTCTTTTTTGAATGCTAAATGAATAAATTTTATTCATGCATTAACCAGAACCCTTATTTTGGTCTTTCCGTGTTATTTTGAACTGTTTTCTTCCTTCTACAAAAAATTTTTGGCTCTTCTCTATAACACCCTACCTAATCTCTTTATTCTTTCTGTGACCTCTACATTTAGACAATTTTTTGGTTGCATGTATTCCCACCCAAATGTAAGCCTCTCAGAAATTCCTGACTGTATCATCTTTTATCTCTTAGTAATTCTTTGAATAATAGTATTTTATCTTCTAATTTTTTACCTTCTTTAGTTCACAAACATTTCATTATTGTCCTCACAATACACAAAATGGAATTGACTGGTTAGTCATCACTACATCAAAAAAATAATAATAAAGACACTCTAGGCCGGGCGCGGTGGCTCACGCCTGTAATCCCAGCACTTTGGGAGGCCGAGGCGGGAGGATCACGAGGTCAGGAGATCGAGACTATCCTGGCTAACACGGTGCAACCCCGTCTCTACTAAAAATACAAAAAATTAGCCGGGCGTGGTGGCTGGCGCCTGCAGTCCCGGCTACTAGGGAGGCTGAGGCAGGAGAATGGCGTGAACCCGGGAGGCGGAGCTTGCAGTGAGCCGAGATCGCGCCACTGCACTCCAGCCTGGGTGACAGAGCGAGACTCCGTCTCAAAAAAAAAAAAAAAAAAAAAAAAAAGATACTCTAAAGTTAGATGTTTTCTACAAAATTATGTAAGAATTTCCAAAAACCAATATTTTGTAATTTTTTAAATAATGCTGAAATCTAATCTTTGAATTTATTGCATCTTACATCGAATTAGAAACTGACTTCTAAATTTAGGAGTAATACATAATTATTAAAATTTTTTAATAAGAATGTTTGAAAGATAAATAAATTACCAACATCTCTACTACCCATACATAGCCACTATTTCTCCTAGTCTTTTTCTCTATTGACTCTTCAGATTTTCATATTTATAATCACACCGACTATAACTTAAAATTAAATATCACACTGACTATAGTCACACTGACTATAACTTAAATTAAAATATCTTAGAAATCATTTTTTCAAAGAAAAAAATACAGCATGCTTGGGGGAAAGAAATAAGTTAGTTTCCTAATCCTTTGTTCTACACAGAAACATAAGCATAGCTTAGAATAAATTATAAAATGGCAAAGCATTTAATAGATTTCAAATACTTTACTTCATCACTAAGGGTGCACAACATATTTTATGGATAAAGACTGCATTTATAGGAAAATTCAAACTCTGGAGTTTCCTGAATCCTCTAGAATAAATGGCTTTCATTTCATTTTTTTTTTAAGAGAGAGAGTCTTGCTATGTTACCCAGGCTGGACTCAAACTCCTGCACTCCATCTCGCCTCATCCTCTCAAGTAGCCGAGAATACAGGTGCATGCACACCCAGCTTAATTTTTTTCATTTATACAAAAAACATTTATCTCATGCCTTAAAAATGTTTTCCAAATCAAAGATACGAAATAATTGCAAAAAAAATCTAAGAATACAATTATAAATTATAAAAGCACACATTTGAGTATTTAAATGACTAATTTTATTGCCATCTAATATGAAGAGAACACTTCTGAAAGGATTTGGATTCAAACCAGAGTCTATAAACTTTTTTTTCACTAGTTTCCTTTCTGTGCTTCTTTAAAAATCTCATAAAAACAACTAGAACTCTGGTATACAGCTGCCCTTGTTAACATTCCAAAAATTAAAGCTCTGATCTGCCTTGTTCAGGAACACTCTAGAAATAATGAAGTCCAGCCTTCACACAGAAGATTAACATGTCAAAAAGTGTAGCTTAGAACTGTTCTCGTGGGACAAACCATCTATATCTCTTTATCAAATCAAAGGGCAATAATTAGATGCTAAAAAATAATGAAATAAATTTACTTTAAGGAAAGATATTGTATCCTAAATCTGTCAAACACTACTGCACTAAAGCTCTTCCTTCCTATTTTTAAAATTGAATGCTCAGCAATTTAATACAGTAGTGGAGGTAATGGTGATCACTAACTTTTACTGGGCTCTCAGTACATGCTGGATACTTTCTTTAACATCCTTTATTTCCCTTTCATTTTCACAACCACCCTAGAGGTACTACTATCTTCACAATTTGTAGAAGAGGAAACTGAGGCAGAGAAGTTGAAGAACTTGCCCCAGGCACTCAGTCAGTATGGCACATTATAGATTTCAATCCATGAGCCAAGGTTTGGACTCGGTGCCATTTTTTGATGCTCCTAAAGAATAAGGAAAAGTCTTCTTAGTTAAGTTTTCCCACATAACTGTGACTCTCGCATAAACTGTGAGAGTTTCTCTCTCTCTCTCTCTCTCTCTCTCTCTGTCTCTATGTAGCCACATTTTTGTTGCTTGCCTGTTTGTTTTCAACAAAGAAGAATTAGTGCAATTCATATTTATTATAAAACATTGTCACACTGAAAGTGCCACATTTTAAAACATTACACCATGTAAGAGTTAGAAGCCCTTTCAGGTCCCTTGAGACACTAACTATGTCACTAAATTTTATTTAATACTCTCAATACTCCTGTAGATACCCTATTTTATATATAAGCTCAAGTAACTTGCTTCAAAGCAAAGAGCCACTTGGTGTACAGCTGAGATTTTACACAGCTGAGTTTTAAACCCACATGTTATTTACTCCAAAGTCTGTGTACTCAAGAAGGCTAAAGCATACTTATACTAGCACGCCTGTAGTAAGGAAGATATTTAGGACAAACTTCTAGTAGATCAGAGCAATTGCATTTTTAGTTTGAGTCTCAACGGAAAATATAGTTAGTCCGATACACATGGCTTCAGGAAGAATTCTGTATTCCTTAGAAAAGGATTCAGAAATCCTAAATTCCTAGGAATTCCAACCCAGGAAGTAGCCCATAAGCAATTTCAACCTTTCCTTTCTCTAATAAGATAAAAACCCAAGAGCTTGAGTGTAGCCCAGCTAATTAGGTCTTTGTAAAACAATAGCCCTTTTCTTTAAATCTGTGGCTTCTCACCCAGATGATAAAAAGCAATTTCGGTTCAAGACTTACTTAATTGGTTTGCACCCTCACAGGGACCTCCTGGGCTCCTCCTGCATATCCCCGCATCAGAGTGTAGAGACAATTCTTTGCCTCTCAGCAAAGCATAGTTCTTCTAAGATTTATGCATGGCTTTCATGTTCACCCACTGAATTAAATCTAAAAGCTTTGCTTCTTTTAGCTTTAACTACCTTCCCTGAGGAAAGCACAGCTTTGGAAACTTGTACATGTCAAAGGAAGTTTGTTTACCCTTAGAAAAGTCCAGCAAAATTAACAGTGAAGCAATTCTTTTGTACCCTTTGGCAGCTCCTATGGCTAAGGGCCCCAAATTACAATAGCCCCAGTCACCCAACCCTGAAAAGCAAGACTTACA